>NW_003571050.1:0-204135 GCF_000001405.40 Homo sapiens | reverse complement strand
TTAACAATTTAGATATCCAATGTAGGAACTATGTGTTGCTTTTTAAAATTTCCCTAACAACTGACATTGCTGAACACAAATTATGGAGAGGTTAAACAAGGAAAAGTACTACAAAACAAGGAAACAGAATATGTCTTTATTTGCATGCTAGCAAATGAGAACTCATTTTTCACTTCAACATCAGTATGAAAAATTTCATCTTATAGCCAGGACATAGTGTTTGAATAGAAGTTAATTTGAACTGTTTTAGAAATTATCATGTTTTCCATAAAGACAGCATTGAATTCATTCATTAGCATGCCCTGGTGCTTTCCTGTTTGACACTGGTCAGAGAATTTAAAAAGAACAAGAGCGTTAATGCACATTCAGAAATCAGGTGCACATAGAATTTAATGTCAGGACCTTAAAGGGAATCTTATCCAATGATATTAGGCCTGCCTTAAAAAGAATTCAGACATGATATGTTGATACCAATCATGTTTTCCATACTGGTAATGGTAGAATTTGTGTTTTACCATGGACAGCTATTATTAAACTTATAGACTATTTTTATATTTTAATATTTTTTCTTTGTTTCCTTTTAGGAGTTGTTAAACAATCCTGAAATTTCCCCTACAATATGCCATGAACTAATCATATTTTCTCAAAGTCATTTGACGTAATGATTGATTAAAGGAAATATCTCCAGTATAATTACACTTGTTCATAACAAAAAAGTATTTGAAACTTCAAGAAAAAATTAGAAAAATTAATAATGAAATATGAACAAATAAATGTATGAAATATATAATTAATCCCTAATAAATGTGCATGAAATTATAGTCATAGAATTAAGAGTGATGTAATTTTTCAACTAAAGATGCATTCTGAATTATAATAGAAAAAGGTTTGTAAAATGTTAAGTTTAATAATATTTTATTTATTTTTGAGACAGTCTCACTTCGTGGTCTAGGTTGGAGTGCAGTGGTGTGATCTCAGCTCACCGCAACCTCCGCCTCCGGGTTCACTCAATTCTCCTGCCTCAGCCTCCTGAATAGCTGGGATTACAGGTGTGCATCACCACACCAGGCTAATTTTTGTATTTTTAGTATTTTTTGTATTTTAGTATTTTTTCACCATCTTGGCCAGGCTGGCCTTGAACTCCATACCTGAGGTTATTCACCCACCTTGGCTTCCCAAAGTGCTGGGATTACAGGCGTGAGCCACCGTGCCTGGCCAAGTTTAATTATATTTTATATAAATATGAAAGTGCAAAAATTACTCTACTAATTTTGGAGAGCATATGAAGCAGTGGGAATTTTCATACACTGCTCCTAGGATTATAAATCAGTGCAATTACTTTGTCTGAGTGTGACATTATTTGAATAAGATGAAGGATCACATCCTAAGACCCAGGATTTGCACTCATATCAGAATACATATACAAGTATATATCGCTGAGTTTTAATAGCTAAAGTTGAGAAGTCTCCCAAATGACCATCAGTAATAAAATGGATAAATAAATTATGACATACTTACAGAATGCTATACAGCAATCAAAATGAACAAACTAGAGGGACATGTTTACAAAGAATATATATGAAAAGGAAAGTGAATAAATTTGATTTACATGGATAGCATAGTAATATATACAGATATAATAGTAATTATTAACATCAAAAACATTCAATATAATCACATTTATATGAAATTTGCAAGAATATTTTTGTATTTTTGCAAATAAATTCTTATAATTGCTTATAAAAGAAATTATAAATTCTTATAACTCCTTACCAAAGAAATTATAACATTTTATAAAAGAAATTATAACTTCTCATAAAAGAAATTTTATTTTAAGTTTTTATAATTCTTATAATTTGAAATAAATTCTTATAATTTATTACATTGGTGGCAAAACTGTAAAGCGAAACATATAAGTGATTATCATAACTGGGATACTTGGGAGGGAGGAAACAAAAGGGAAATCATATCAACAAGAAAGCATATATGGGGAATGTCTTCATTGCTGGCAAATTCTACTTTTTGACGAAAGTGTGGAATATGAGTGTTAATGTTACATTCTTTTTTCCTTTTACTGTGCATTTAGGTTTTATTGCTTTCCCTACATATGTTAGGTTCCCGAATAATGAAAATATTTTAAAAGCAGAAATATTAAGTAAATTAATGAATATAAAACTAGGCTGAAACAATATATTCTTACATGTACCATCGTAATTAGAGTTTTGCTGAATAAAGAATACAGCATTATAGTAGTAAGAAATAGGGATAAAATTTTATACTTTTAAAAATTAATTTAAAAAAGAAAGATATAAGCAGGAAGTGTACATCCACATTCTTAATGCTAATCTTAATTTGAAACAATAGATTTTGAACAACTATATTGCAATAGACTTTTTTCTTGTTTCCAATTTAATTATTCATGATACACGTTTCAAATTGGCAGCAATTAGGGAATTTTTCATAAGGTACAAATATTAAAGTATGTAGGACTATAGATATTAAGTGTATAGGACAATTTTTGCTACATTTATCCCTAAATGAAATAATTATACTCATGTTGTTCCCATTCAAAGATCACAATACTATGCATGTGCACAGCATATGTGTTGGGGAAAATATTTTGTTACTATAAATTTTTCAACTGTATTAGAGAAGAAAACATAGAAAGATAACTGTTAAGCTATAAAACATATTTAGTGTAATCTTTGAGTGTGCTTGTGTATATGTAGTATTACTTTGACTGCTATAGTAAAATAACCCAGATTTAGTGACAGTAGCTGAGATTGTAAATAAGCAGTTGAGAGAATTTTGCCTGCTAATGATACTATTAAAAGATAAAATACAGTTTGTATGCTATATAATTGTATAGAGGATTTGTATATATGAAGTTCATATGAAAGTACAGTGAAAATTAAACAGCCCAAAGGAGAATACTCTTTGTTGTAGGGCACTTTTGTCATGATTTTCAGAATGTGGTAAAAGAAAAAAAAATAGCCAGTAAATCATTGGAAATACATTGGTTTTAACTTATTCTTAATGAAATACTGTCTGAGGATCTTTGTCTGTGCCTGATGCTGAGAATAATATAAGAAACAAGTTCATGAGCCCATCACCCTGAAACGCAGCACTTAGAAAACATGATTGAAGTCACATTTATAGAAGAGCATGGCCCCTTTTAACTGACATTATCATCATCACCAATCATCATCTATATCTATCTCATTAAATGATTTATTTTTGAAATGTTTACATAAATAATTTGGATAATGTCTAATAAATGTTTAAAAGATTATTATTATGGGAAAGTTAGATTAGAAAATGGAAAATTTCAAGTTGAACCAAATACATTTTTAAGTATAGTTTAGTTTAAAATACATTGCTTAAGCAAATCATTATAGATAACCTTAAACTGATCTTAGGAACACTATAGGAAAGATTTAGTTGCGGTGTTAATAAAATTCCTTAATTAGAAAGATAAATAAGCCACTTCATGATCAAGCTCTTACTTCTAAAGTGAAGGTTTTATTTTATTTATTTTTTAACCTTTCCACATTTTATTGACAAAGAATTAATAGTATAAATTACGTTTATATTGCAAAGTTTATTTATGGAAATTTGATACGTGTACTTCTACTCCTTTTTACACCTTACATGAATATTTAAATAATTGATTTATAACACTCCCTGATGCCAGGTAAAGTAAAGCCTAATCGCAGTTCAGAAACTCACATGTACAACAAATTTAACTTTCTGGATATTTTTAAAACTCAGCTTAATTTCCCTAGGTGCTCCATTAACCTGATGGCAGAAATTAAATCTTAAGCAACTCTGGGTTCTCCCACAAGCACACTTTGCTTCAGAGTTGTGCTGAAGTTTTGAGGAGGATGGGAGGAGGCAAGGAGGTGTCCAGTCCTTTGTGCATCTATCCCCTGGCATTCTCCCATCCTGCCCCAAGTCATCAGCCCACACAGGTTGCTGGCACATCTAAAGTGAGAATTTTAGGACTAAATAAATCAAATAGAAGTAAGCCCTCACATCTTCTATATCTCACCTGATAGTGAAGAAGTTTGAAGGTACAGAGCTCCACTTCTGCTAATAAAAAAAGAGTAAAATTTAATTTGTAAAATAGAATGGTGTAGCTAGGGTTGAGGTGCTATAATTTATTTATTGGAATGGCATCTTGAGATCCAGCACAGCTCATTGAATTTCCCTGTGGGGAGAGTTTGTGGTGAAGACTCATCAACAGACAAGCTGCTATCCCCCCCTAAAAAAAAAAGCTACTAACATCACATCAATTTCCAGGTTCTTCCAACTTGCGGAAGGATGTGTAGACCAAGCTTTTATTCTATTTTGTGACCAAAGTCTTGGGAAAAGAAGAAAATTGTTAGCATTTTCATGTCAAGCATACGAAAAACAAAAAAACAAAGCCAACCAACTGAACAAAGAACCCAACTTTTTTTAAAAAACTTGGTGGTAAGAGTGCTTTGTTCTGCTTCTCCATAGATAATGATTTATAGAAGGAGAACAAAATATAATTTCTGCTACTAAAACAATAATAGCAAAAAATAAATAATCAATATTGAGAATCCAATAGACAGAGTTAACAACCAGTTAGACATAGAAGAGAGAATTAGTGAATTGGAAGACAACTATAAAGAAAGAAGCCTAAAGAGACCACAAGACAAAGAATGCCAAGCTAAGAGGATAAGAGGCATTGATGCTACAATCAGAGCATCTAACATACTTCTGGATTTCTGGAAGATTAAAAGGGATAAAATAGGGCAGAATCAATGTTGTGGAGATTTTCCCAAAAGTGATAAAATGTATTAATCCATATATTTTTAGTAACCATCAAAGGTCAGACAAGATAACTAAAAACAAATTAACATAAAATGTCACAAGACATCAAAGACCAGTAGAAAATCTGAAAAGTAGCCAGAGGAAAAGATAGATTATTTTAAAAGGAACAACTTTCTAAATGACAACCTGATTTTCAACAGAAAAATGGAAAGTAGAATTCAATGGAATCATGTCTTTAGTGTGTTTCAAAAGAATAGAGGACCTTCATAAACAGAAATCCAAATGATATTTTTCAGATAAAAAATATTGAAAATACAAGGTTAAGCATGCAAGAAGGAATAAAAATTAACAGAAATGATAAATATGTGCATAATTCTAAATGAATGTTGACTGAATAAAATAATAGCGTCTTGCTGAGTTAAATATATTATTGATAAGATATATGCAAATAGCGATAAAGAGACTGGAGGTAAAGGTGACAGGAACAAATTTAGATAAATTATTTTTTGCACTTTTCTATGTCTGTGAGGATAATTTGAACACCACATTTAATGACCCCATAATAGGAATTGCATCAAATGATATGTGAAATAATGCTGATAGTAGTATTATTCATAATAGCTCAAAAATAGACTGCCCAAATATATATTAACTAAGGATGATTGAATGATATGAAAGATTACAGTAAATCCATACAGTGGAACAGTATATAGAGGTGAAAAGAAATGAATCACATGTACATGCAACTATGTAACTAAATTTCAGAAACATGATATCTAGTGCAAGAAGCCATGAACAAGAAGAACACACAGGACTGCACCTATACACAGTTCAAAGCAGGACAGACCAAGCTGTGGAGTTTAGGGTTGTGAACCTAGCTGGTAAAGTATAAAGAAATTCAAGCAAATGATCATCATAGATTATGAATATTGCTTATCTCAGGAGATGTGAATAAAGGTTTAGGGGCTTGGAAAGTGGCCTGGAAGTGGACCTAGTCTGTTTGCAGTGTTCCATGTCTTATCCTGCATGATGGTTACATAAGTGTTTATGATACATTGCTCTTACCTATTTTTGTTTTGGCCCATTTCTAAGTGTGCATTATAATTTTATTTAAAAAATTACAAATTGGGAGAAATGTCACGTAAAAATTATTAATTGCTCTGCTCATTATATACCTAGGGGGAAAATCCACCATTTACGTACATTCTTATACAACTCAAGAGAGCTAAAGTGAATTCTTATTTTAGTTGCAAAATGGAGAAATTTGAGATGCTGTTACCTACAGCCTCCAGATCTTTCCAAAAGTTTTCTTCTAGTTTTAGATATTCACCTCATATTACAAAAACTTTGATATTTCCAACCTATTTTTCCTTTGGCTCCTGAATTTCTGACACAACAAGGGCGCACATATTTCTCAAACTCTTGGATTAGCAGAGTACCTATATCACTTAGCTTTTTCTGCAAAAGAAACTTCTCCAAAACCACATTAGATATTTATATCTCACATGTTTTTGGATTCTGTTTTCTTAAGCTGGGGTTTGGTGGATGGCTCTGGTGATTTGAGATGGTCCAAGTTTTGCCTCTTGGATCTAGTTAGAGTTTGGCCGATTTAAGGCTGGATCAGGCAGGAGCCATATGATTCCATGAGTTACTCATTCTTATTCTGGGAACAGTGTGTTAGTGTGGACATGTTCTCATTATAAACCGGAAAGGAACAAGAAAGCCTAATGTGGAGGTCATCTCAAATTTCGATGTAAAGTGTAGTAATTTTCTGTTCATCAAAGCAAATTACATGATCGAACTCAGAGCCCTAGTGCAAGGTTGTCACTATGCCTGTGGTGGGAGGACACTGCAAAATTATGTGACAAAGGTCTGGTACTCAGGAATGTTTACAAGCTTGCAGGTAGCATTACCAAAAGCCTAAGCATGAGAGATATGTTTCATGAATATTATTCATTGGCTGAAAATCTGGCATGGGAAAAATAGGACTAATTCCACCAGGACGAGCTCCTGGAAACTCATTTTCCATGTCATAAGTTACAAGAAAGCAATTCCTTCCATCCTTGAAGAGTGAAAGTGTGTGTGTGTCTGTGTGTGTGTTTATGAGCTTGTTAATAGTGATGCCATATAGAAGTATTGGTTAACAGCAACCAAATTATAAGGAGTATTGGCTTTCCTGTGGTTTCCAAGAAAATCTTAGGTGATTTTGATAAAAAGTTTAGATTCTGTGTATTTAAATCTGGCTTTAAAAATAAATCCATAGTGATTTTGATCCTAGATTTCACCAGGCTCTTTTAACAATATATTTTTTGTGTCATCTATGTACTGGGTATTAAAATTTCCCCAACAACTGAAGGGCTGAACACAAATTATGGAAAGGTGAAACAAGGAAAAAATTGCAAAGCAATGAAAGAGGATATGTCTTTATTTGAATGCTAGCAAATGAGAATTCAGCTTTCCCTTCAACATCAGTATGAAAAATTTCAGCCTATAGCAAGAATAGAGACTTTATGAATAAGAATTAATTTGAGTTGTTTTGGGACTAACAGTATTTCCCATAAAGGCAGCATTGAACTCATTCATTAGTTTAAGCTGGTGCTTTTCTGTTGACATTGTTCACAGAATTTAAAAGTATAAAGAATGTTATTGGACATTCAGGAATCAAGTGCATATTTAACTTAAAGTCTTGAATATCAGAGGAGTCACCATCAGTGACATTAGGCCTGAATTTTTTACTTGCTTTTTTGTTTAGACATGATGAGTTTTCTACACATTGTTTTTTCCATTCTAGTAGTGGTTGCATTTATTCTTGGAAATTTTGCCAATGGCTTTATAGCACTGATAAATTTCATTGCCTGGGTCAAGAGACAAAAGATCTCCTCAGCTGATCAAATTATTGCTGCTCTGGCAGTCTCCAGAGTTGGTTTGCTCTGGGTAATATTATTACATTGGTATTCAACTGTGTTGAATCCAACTTCATCTAATTTAAAAGTAATAATTTTTATTTCTAATGCCTGGGCAGTAACCAATCATTTCAGCATCTGGCTTGCTACTAGCCTCAGCATATTTTATTTGCTCAAGATCGTCAATTTCTCCAGACTTATTTTTCATCACTTAAAAAGGAAGGCTAAGAGTGTAGTTCTGGTGATAGTGTTGGGGTCTTTGTTCTTTTTGGTTTGTCACCTTGTGATGAAACACACGTATATAAATGTGTGGACAGAAGAATGTGAAGGAAACGTAACTTGGAAGATCAAACTGAGGAATGCAATGCACCTTTCCAACTTGACTGTAGCCATGCTAGCAAACTTGATACCATTCACTCTGACCCTGATATCTTTTCTGCTGTTAATCTACTCTCTGTGTAAACATCTGAAGAAGATGCAGCTCCATGGCAAAGGATCTCAAGATCCCAGCACCAAGATCCACATAAAAGCTCTGCAAACTGTGACCTCCTTCCTCATATTACTTGCCATTTACTTTCTGTGTCTAATCATATCGTTTTGGAATTTTAAGATGCGACCAAAAGAAATTGTCTTAATGCTTTGCCAAGCTTTTGGAATCATATATCCATCATTCCACTCATTCATTCTGATTTGGGGGAACAAGACGCTAAAGCAGACCTTTCTTTCAGTTTTGTGGCAGGTGACTTGCTGGGCAAAAGGACAGAACCAGTCAACTCCATAGATTCACAAGAGGTGCATTGTGTGTTTTCTAGCAGAAAACAAATTGATGGTGTCTGGAACATTTTATATTTCCCACAAGTTTTTCCGTAGTCTATGTATTTGAGTAATTTCCAAAAGTTGACATAGAAAAGTCTTTTACCTAAGTTTATTATATAAAAGTATATATATATAATATACATTTGCGTGTGTGTGTATGTCTGAATGTATATGAAAATTTAATATTTACCATAACATACCTTTAATCAACTTTTCATATAAACTGTTCAGTTATACCAAAGTAGGATAAGAAATTTCTCAGAATTATGAACCCATGTGTATTTCACACATTTTTTTATATGATATTTCATTTGAGGAATTTATGATCTCTATTTATAATTAAGAACTGACAGCTTATATCAGAAAATCATTGCTGTTTTTCGTTGTAAAATCATTGCTGTTTTTCGTTGTAATTTGTATCACGTATATGTACCATAGTGTGTTTAACTGTTTAACTATCATTGTTTGAACCTCTAATTTTTTGGATGGTAAGGACATTTAATTCTAAATCGATGAGAATGTGTCTTTGGGGTAGGTTTTTTTGTTTTTTTTTTAATCATGAATTCTTTTTTTCTTTTTTTTGAGATGGAGTCTTGCCCTGTTGTCCAGGCTGGAATGCAGTAGCACAATCTTGGCTCACCACAACGTTCACCTCTGGGGTTCAAGTGATTTCCATGCGTCAGCCTCCTGAGTGGCTGGGACTCCAGGCATGCGCTACCACACGTGGCTAATTTTTTGTATTTTTCTTTTTTTTTTTAGTAGAGATGGGGTTTCACCATGCTGGCCAGGCTGGTCTCGAACTCTTGACCTCAAGTGATCCACTGCCTCAGCCTCCCAAAGTGCTGGGATTATAGACATTCATGATGAATTCTTATTTTATGTTTAATATAAAGCAAATACAATTATTGTTAGATAACAATGCACAAAATAAAATTCAAGGGTGAAAAATATATCTAGTGTACATTTTTATGTGTATCAAAAGCAATACTGAGGAATATTATATTTAATATAGTATGTTAATAGCTTAGAAAAAATCATTTCTATAAAAAGGATGAAGAAACATGATCATGAGCTCTTTTCAGTGCTGTTATAAGTTTCCATACGCAATTAGAAAAGTCATCTCTTCCAGTTTTTGAATTAAACAAAAACCTTTTTGAAGTTGAGATCTGATGTTATATATTTCAGTTTTTTGTCTAAGCCACCTCTGAGCTCCTGAATTGTCAATTTCCTCCTTTATCTTCCATCCTTAAAATTCCTCAAAAAGCTCAAATTTTCCTTACTTTAAAAAGAAGCTCAATCTAAAGAGGGTATAGAAACTATGGCATCTATGAAATCTATATATTAATGATAGGAAATGTCTTAAAGATATGTTTTATTATAATCTTGGTGTAAATAATGAAATGAGAGAAAGTGTGTTGACATATTCACTAATAGCAAGTTCTATTACAAGAAGAAAATGTATAACCTAGTTCAACAGCTAAATTCTGTGTGACTGTATTAATTTCTGGTGTTATGCAATTTTAACAATATTATCTAAACCTTAAGATAAATCATCTCCACATCTGATTTGTTTGTTTATCATATATCTTACCTGGTACAATGTAAATACCATAAAAGTAGAGATCATATAGATCTTGCTTACTGTAGACTCCCAAGACATAAAGATAGCACATAGAATAGGTATTGAAAAATGATACTTTGATGAACAAGTTAATTGGTGAATGAATGAATATGAACTATATTGGGGTGGTGAACCAATGAAAATGTAACACATCACAAAATCTACAGTTGGGTGCACATTTCTGTTCTGGTTTCAGATTGAAGTTACAGGATTATCCAAGAAGAAGAAGAATTTCTCAGAGCAAAAGTTTGGCTATTCCACAATTCTAGGGGAAATATCACTATAATATAGCAGTGATGCAGCTATATCAGATGTGTGACACAAAGACAAAGTGGAAAATAAAAAGATGGCATTTATTACAATACTTTTTACTAAGCATATAAAAGATTTTTGTATAAGTGCACATATCTTTTCTATTGCGAATGATATATTTATATTGTGGTATTTCTAGCTGGTTATTATATAAACAAAAATGACATTTCATTTAAAAAATTTAGTTACCAACTATCTTACTAAAATATAATCTTTATTTAGTATTTTTAATATCCTTTCTAAATGACCACTTTAATCACCATATTATAAACTGATGGAAAAATGAATGAATAATAATTATAACACTGAATGAATATCTTATCAGGGGTCTAGAAGTAGAGCAAATGTCTGATATTAAAGTGATGACATTTATTTGGAAGGAGGTCCACTGCAGAAATGGCTGGGACATGTGGAAATTGAGTCAAGAGAAGATGTGACACTATGTGCTGTAATGTGTGATATGACTCTGCTGACGACCACTTCACAATGATGTGAGAGAGACAGCATGGTGGTTATCAGATGCATGCACTTGGCTCCCAGGACTTTTTCAGAAGGGCTGCGAGAGGACAACACAGCCAGCATTAGCCCATGGAAGCAACAGAGGACGGAGAATATATCTGCTCAGCTGTCTTCTGTCTTCTATTTCCCACTGGCCAGGGTTTCCCTGAGGCAGAACTACCATCTCTGCTGTTCTGCTTTCCATCATCCAATCCCTTGATGGAGGTTATGAAAGTCAGACCTCATGCCCACAATGTGGTGATCCATTCAAGTCCCAAATGGAAGGGTGATGTGGGTCAGGCAAGGTGCTGACCAGGGGAATAGGAGACAGTCAAGTAAATCTGAGGAAGCACATGTTTGTGTCCCATGCAGTCCACTCCTTGTGCCATTCAGATGTGCTCATGCCCTCCAATCATGGCTGACTATGAGCATATAATTTCCACTGTTGCACAGGGTCTTGTGCTTAGAGACGCACACGCTTAGAAGGGCTTTATACATGGGTTAATTTTCTGCACCTGCTGTTTTGTTTTTGAGACAGAGGGCACTCCTCTGCTAAAGAGGGAATGGTCTTGCACTAATTGGCTAGGGGTTTGCTCTCCCCTCTCCTGTGGGCTTGTGAGAAGCATGCACAGAGTCTTATAATGCCCACTATGCATGCATGCCTCTAGCGGGTTTGAATTCTGCTGGATTATCTGTCACAATGAGCACAGCAGCTTGGACTAGAGCCTACATTTGCTAGAGGCATTTTTTGTTCTAGTTCCACTTGAGACCAGTAGCCTTTGGCAACTTCATTAGTGAATCAGAGCAGTATCCTCAAATGTGGAATACGTTGGCTCCCAAATCCCAGTAGGCCCAACAAATATTGTGTCTCATTTTTAGTGACAGGAAATAGATGTATAGAGAGCAACATGCTGTTTACTTTAAAAGGGTGTTTCAGCATGTGGACTAGGAGCACTGGACCCCTAAAATCATCATCTATGTTATAGGTCACTGAATCTTCTTGTTCATCTTTCTTCTTCTGGTATTTAGTTCTGTTCAATGTTATGGTATTTTACTATATTTGAGAAACTCATCACTTCCTGCTTATGGGTAACAGTTAATGCAATATTATTAATATATTGAGTTAGCATGATGTTTTGCAAAATGCCAATTAAACTGAAAACAGAAGTGACGTAGCCATGACATAAAACAGTGAAGCAGTGCTTTTGTTCTTACCTCACCAAAACAAATCATTTTGATTTTCTCTCCCAATCGATGTAGATTAAAAAGCATTCACCAAATCAAACGCCTCATACAAAGAACCAGAAACCATGTTTTCTCAGTGAAGGTACCACATCCTAGAGAGCATCTGCAAGTGTGATTTAAGTTTATGCTAATGTGCATTCATCTGATAATCCATCTGGCTTTGGCAGAAGCCAGATAGGTTAACAGAATAGGGATCAAAAATGGACAACCACCTCCTGGAACTTTTGAGTTTTTTGTCATGTCGGTGACCAATTCTATTCCTTGGACAATGCGGTTAGTATGTTTTACTCATTTTCTTGCCAGAAGAGGAGAATTACCGAGGACTCTTTTTGGTCCTACTTACAGTAATGTCCCTTAATATACAGGTCTGGAAGCAATGTGAGAGTTCTGCTAGCTGTTGAAACTGTTAATTTCATTTAACATTCTGGAAGAGATAATAAATATAAACCCATTACATCCACCTTAGGTTGAACATGAGCCAAAGCTTTATGCAGCATCTGACTTTCAAAAACTCATACTCCAGGACTGGTGAGGTGGCTCACACCTGTAATCCAAACAATTTGGGAGGCTGAGGTGGGAGGAGCACTTGAGGCCAGGAGTTCCAGATCAGCCTGGGCAAGACAGCAAGACCCTGTTTGTTAAAGAAAATAAACTGATTGTAGTACTGCGTGCCTGTAGTTCCAACTACCCAGGAAGTTCTGGCAGGGGGATCAGTTTAGCCCAGGAATTTGAGTCTGCAGTAAGCTATGATTGTGCCATTTCACTCCAGCCTGGGCTGCACTCTAGCCTGGGCAACCAAACAAGACTCTGTCTCTAAAAACAAAAAAAAACGAACAACCGAAAACAAAGCCTCCCACTCCATTCTGTGAAACACAGTGTCTTTTTTTAGTTCTCAAATATTATTAGTGTTAGTTCAGGCCCCATGTTTAAAATTCTGAGAGTATGGATATATGTCCTTTCCTCTGGGTACTGTTATGGCTACAGGTGAAATGGCTACAGGTGCTTGAGAAAGGGTCAAGTGAATATTTCCTGAATATTTTTGTGGTGAATCTTCAGTGTTGTTTACCGAGGGCATGTAAGCTTTCCTTCAATCATTGAACTCTGCTTCTCTGAACTGGCTCAGTCCAGAGAACTGGCTAAGGGTTTTTGATTTTCAATGTCAAAGGCTGACCTCAGGAGTCAGCTTTTGCAACTCTTGTCCCCTCTTGGTTTATAATTATTTAGCAAAGTATGAGGCCTCTTCAACTATCGGTCCATCAACCCATTTAAATGAGGCTGTTACTGTCACCACTCCATTAAATCTGACATTTGCAAGATCACCGATAAGTCTGTGTTGCCAATGGTTAGTTTTCATGTTGCATGCTCTATGAGCAGCACTGAACCTGGTTTATTTGCATTTCAGGATGCTGCCCTCTCCTGATTTTATCCTTGTTCACTGGCACAATTTCTTAGTCTCCTTTGCTAGTTCTTCCTCTTGTCTGTAAACTGAAAATATCAGATTGCCCAAGGTCTAAATTCTTCAATCTCTAATCAATTATGTCTGGTTTTTTTGGTGATCTCATGCAGTCTCCTTACAGATAATGTAGCCACATGGTTCAATAGAGAGGAATAAGGCTGATTATTCATATATGTTATTTATTTATATACATATAGTTACATATATCAAATTATGTAACCCTTTTTTTCAAATGTCAAAGTTACATTTAAAAGTCACAATACTAAAAATCTATGGAGAAGGTCGGAGCATCAATAATGTTTTTACTTGAATTTCTGCTAAATCAGAGTGATGGTGACCAGATAGCTAATTAAGTTTTATTTAAAATAGCCATGTAGATTGATAGGCAGGGGATTATCATTATAGAAAAAAATGATATAAGTAAGGAAATATACAGATAGAATAATGATTGATTAACCCATTTTGACTTATTGTACTTGGTACAGTTAATGTCTTAGTATCTCAGTAATCTGTTTTTATATTTTTCTCTATGATCAATTAATTATGAGTTAATTTTTATATATGGTATGAAATAATGGTCTACACTCATGTTTTTATCATTCTGTTTTTACTCCCACTTCTTAGGTAAGTTCATCTAGTCATAACCTTAGTTACTTTCTGTGTGCTGTTGATGCCAATATTTAATTCTTCAGCTCAGAAGTCAATCCTGGTCTCTAGAATCCTTTCTCTAAGAAGTCATTTGACATCTTCATTTGGATGTCGTAACAAGAACTTGAACTAACATGTCCAAATCAAAATAGTGATCTTCCCTCTAGTCTCCAGCGTTGTTTCTTCTATAGCCTTTCCCTCTTCTGTTAATGACCACTTCAGTCTTTCAGATGCTTAGACCAAAAACACGGAGTTAACATTTTCTCTCTTTCAGAACTCATCTCTAAGGCATCAGCAAATTTTGTTGGTTCTACCCTCTTGTTGGTTCTACCCTCAAAAACATACAGAATCCAATCCCTTGTCATCACTTTTGCCATACTCATCTAAACTGCTGCCATACCTAGCCAAGATAATTGCCATCAACTCCTAATTATTCTTTCTAGTTCTGCACATCATTTTCTCCTGATGTACTCTCAAGATAGCAGCCAAAGAGAGCCTATGAAGATGCAAATTTGATCATGCCATTCTTCAGCTTTAGATTTTTCAGTGGCTTCTCATCTCATTAGAGTAAGGCCAAAATCCTTACAAAGTCCTATAATCATTTGAATGATCGGATTTTGTCTGCCTGTCTGTCCTAAAATGCCTGGCTATCCCATGCTAGCAACACTGGACTTTGTGTAATTTCTTGAATGTACCAAGAATTGCCTCAGGGACTTCGTACTTGTGTCCCTTCTTCTCGGAATGCTCTTTCTCAGAAATCAACACTAAACACTATCACTCATCAAACATCACTGAATCATTGAGGCCTCCTTGATTTGATCTTTGTATATGGTGATAAATAGGCATCTAGTTTCATTTTTCTGCAAATGGATATCCAATTTTCCCAGCACCATTTAGTGAAGAGACTGTCCTTTCCCCAGAGTATGTTCTTGGCACCTTTGTCATGAGTTCTCTATAGGTGTGGATTTGTTTCCACATTCTCTATTCTATTTCGCTGCTCTATGTGTCTGTTTTTATGCCAGTACCATGCTGTTTTGGTTACTATAGCTCTGTAATATACTTTGAAGTCAGGTGATGTGATTCCTCCAGTTTTGTTCTTTTTGCTCAGGATAACTTTGGCTATTCTGAGACATCCGTATATTTTCAGAAGCCATTAAAATTTAGATGAGATAACTAAAACCAATTAAAAACAAATGCCACAGGATATCAAAGACCAATCGAAAATCTGAAAAGTAGGTAGAGGAAAAACTTTATGTAAAAAGAAACAACTGTCTAAATGACAATCTTATTTTCAACAGACAAAATTGAAGCTAGAATTCAATGGAATCATGTCTTCAGTGTGTTTCAAAACCATAGCGGACTTTAACAAATAGAAATTCAAAAGAATATTTTTTAGATAAAAGGAAAATTACTAAAAATATAAAGCTGAACATGCATGAAGGAATAATAAATAATAGAAGTGGTAAATATGTGCATAAGTCTAAATAAATTTTGACTGTATAAAGTGGTGGTGTCTTTTTGGGTTAAGTATTTAATAAGATATATAGAAATAGCCATATATAGTCTGTAAGTAAAGGTATCAAAAAGTGAATTTAGTTAATTTAAATTCGGAATTTTCTATGTCTGTGAAGAGAATTTGAAAGCTATATTTGATGACCCTGTAATTATCTTTCTATGTATATATCCAAAGGAAATGAATCAAATGATATATGAAAGAATGGTCATACTAGAATTATTCATAACTCTTCAAAAAAGAAACCCCCCAAATATGTATCAACTAAAGATGAATGAATCATTACAACACATTCATACAATGGAATAATATAGAGAAGTGAAAAGAAATGAATCACATAAAGATGCAAGTATGTGAGTAAATTTCAGAAACGTAAAGGTGAGTCCAAGAAGCCATGAACAGGAACATACAGGACTACACCTACATATGGCTTAAAGGTTTAAAGTAGGTAAAACCGTATCATAGAGTTTAGGGTTGCATACCTAGTTGTTAATGTATAAAGAAAATCAAGGCCAGGCGCGGTGGCTCACGCCTGTAATCCCAGCACTTTGGGAGGCCGAGGCGGGTGGATCACCTGAGGTCAGGAGTTCAAGACCAACCTGGCCAACATGGCAAAACCCTGTCTGTACTAAAAATACAAAAAGTTAGCTGGGTGTGGTGGCATGCGCCTGTAGTCCCAGCTACTTGGAAGGCTGAGGGAGGAGAATTGCTTGAACCCGGGAGGTGGAGGTTGCAGTGAGCTGAGATCGCGCCACTGCACTCCTGCCTGGGTGATAGAGCGAGACTCTGTCTCAAAAAAAAAGAAAATCAAGGAAATGATCATTCTAAATTATGGCTATTGCTCTCCTCAGGGTATGTGAAGAAAGGTGTAGGGGCTTGGAGAGTGGCATGGAGGTGGACCTAGGCTATTTGCAATGTGACATGTTTTGCCCTGCTTGATGGTTGCATGAGTGTTTATGACA
The DNA here is from genome assembly GCF_000001405.40 of Homo sapiens. Classification (NCBI taxonomy): domain Eukaryota; kingdom Metazoa; phylum Chordata; class Mammalia; order Primates; family Hominidae; genus Homo; species Homo sapiens. The sequence goes on along the minus strand of NW_003571050.1, from coordinate 187,361 downwards.
CATTGCTATGTTTACCATCTTAGTTTTCACCCATTTCTAAGTGTGCATTATAATTGTATTTAAAAATTATTAACTGGAAAAATGCTCCATAAAGAATATTAATTATTCTGCTCATTGTATACCTTGCAAAAAATTCACCATTTATACACATTTTTATACAACTCTTAGAGAGTTGAAGTAGGAACTTTATTTTAGCTGCAACATATGGAAATTTCAGATGATGCTACCTGCAGCACACAAATCCTTTCAAACATTTTTTTATTACCTTTAATTATCTACCTCACATGACAAAACTTTGCCACTCCCCATCTATTTTTCTTTTGGCTCCTGAATTCCTGACAAAACAGGGGCAAATATATTTCCCCACACTCTTGGTGTAGCATAGTAGCTGTACCAGTTAGGTTTTTCTACTAGAGAAACCCTCCAAAACTACGTTAGATATTTTTATCTCATATATCTTTGGATTCAGGTTTTCTAAGCTGGGTTTGGTGGATAGCTCTGGTGACTTGAGATGGGCCAAGTTCTGCATCTTGGAGCTAGTTAGACTTTGGCCAATTTAGGATGGATCAAGTGCAGGCAAACTGACTCCATTAGTTTTCATTCTCATTCTGAAAACAGTGTACTAGCCAGGTGATAATCTCATGATCAATGGAAAAGAGCAAGAAACCCCAATATGGAAGCCATCTCAAACCTCGGTGTGAAATCTACCAATTTTCTGTTCATCAAAGAAAGTTGTGTGAGTGAGCTCCGAGTCCAGGGGACAGATAATCAACCTGCTTATGGTGGGAGGATACTGCAAAATTATGTGTCATAGGGTGTGGTACTCAGGAATATTTACAAAATTGTTGAACATTTTAATTAAATAATAAATACTTAAACATTAAATAGACTTGAGAGTAAGTTTACCAAATGCTTAAGCATGAAAGATATGTTTGATGTTTGATACATTTTTTTGGGGGGGGTCTGAAAACCCTCAGTTTTCACTGGGAAAATAGGACTAATTTCACGTGGATGGCCTCCAGGAGACTTACTTCCCATTTTGGAAAGTATAAGAAAATAATTCCTTCCATCTCTTAGGGGTGTCACAGTCTCTCTCTCTCTCTCTCTCTCTCTTTCTGTGTTTGTATCTATTTATGAACATGGTAACAATAAATTCACACAAAAGTATTGGGTTAGCAGCAACCAGATTTTAAGGTGTTTTGGTCTTCTTATGGTTCCCAAGAAAACCTTGGATGATTTTGATTTAAAAGTTTGGATTCTGTCTGTTTAAATGTAGCATAAATAGTAAATCCGTTATGGTGGTGATCCTAGTTATGACTAAGGTCTTTTAAAGAACTTAGACATTTACTGTATGAACGATGGACTCGGGGGTAAAATTTCCCTATCTAACAGCTGAAGTTGCTGAACACAAATTACGTATCGGTTAAACAAGGAAAACATTGCAAAATATTGAAAGAGAATATGTCTTTATTTGCATGCTGGTAAATGAAAATTTAGGTTTCACTTCAACTTCATTATGAATAATTCAAGCCCATCACAAGAACGGACATTGAATGAATGAGTTAATTTGAGCTGTTTTGAAAATAAGAATGTTTTCCGTAAAGATGACATCAAACTCATCCATTAGCATAAGCTGGTACTTTCTTGTTTGACACTGGTCACAGTGTTTAAAAGTAAAAAGAATGTTACTGCACATTCAGAAATCAGATGCACATAAAATTTAAGGTCAGAGTATTAAAGAAATCACAACCAGTGATATTAGGCTTGCATTTTCTTTCTTTTTTTCTGCTCAGATATGATAACTTTTCTATACATTTTTTTTTCAATTCTAATAATGGTTTTATTTGTTCTCGGAAACTTTGCCAATGGCTTCATAGCACTGGTAAATTTCATTGACTGGGTGAAGAGAAAAAAGATCTCCTCAGCTGACCAAATTCTCACTGCTCTGGCGGTCTCCAGAATTGGTTTGCTCTGGGCATTATTATTAAATTGGTATTTAACTGTGTTGAATCCAGCTTTTTATAGTGTAGAATTAAGAATTACTTCTTATAATGCCTGGGTTGTAACCAACCATTTCAGCATGTGGCTTGCTGCTAACCTCAGCATATTTTATTTGCTCAAGATTGCCAATTTCTCCAACCTTCTTTTTCTTCATTTAAAGAGGAGAGTTAGGAGTGTCATTCTGGTGATACTGTTGGGGACTTTGATATTTTTGGTTTGTCATCTTCTTGTGGCAAACATGGATGAGAGTATGTGGGCAGAAGAATATGAAGGAAACATGACTGGGAAGATGAAATTGAGGAATACAGTACATCTTTCATATTTGACTGTAACTACCCTATGGAGCTTCATACCCTTTACTCTGTCCCTGATATCTTTTCTGATGCTAATCTGTTCTCTGTGTAAACATCTCAAGAAGATGCAGCTCCATGGAGAAGGATCGCAAGATCTCAGCACCAAGGTCCACATAAAAGCTTTGCAAACTCTGATCTCCTTCCTCTTGTTATGTGCCATTTTCTTTCTATTCCTAATCGTTTCGGTTTGGAGTCCTAGGAGGCTGCGGAATGACCCGGTTGTCATGGTTAGCAAGGCTGTTGGAAACATATATCTTGCATTCGACTCATTCATCCTAATTTGGAGAACCAAGAAGCTAAAACACACCTTTCTTTTGATTTTGTGTCAGATTAGGTGCTGAGTAAAAGACCTGAAACTCTCAACTCTCTAGATTCACAAGTGGGACATTGTGTGTGTATTCTAGGAGAAAACAAACTGATAGTGTCTGGAACATTTTATACTTTTTACTGTTTTTTCTGTAGTGTATGTTTTTGAGTATTTTCTGAAAGCATACCTAGAAAAGTCTTTTACCTAAAGTTAGTCTAAAAGTGTATCTATGTGTGTGCATCTGTATATGAAAGACTTAAAAGACATTGACAATAACATAATGTTAATCATATTTTCACAAGATGCCAAATTATAGAAAATATGGTAAGAAGTTTTTCAGAATCATGAACCCATGTATATTTCACATATACATTTCATATTATCATGTTTCACTTGAAAACTGTGTGATCTTTACTTATAATTGTTAAGAAGTGACACATTATCTCAAAATCTTTGCTCTTTTCCACTGATTTTTACCACACATATGTACCACAGTGTGCTTAAACATCTAAATTTTTTGATAGTAAGCACACTCAATTCTAAATCAATAATGAGGTTTCATCTTTGGGGTAGTTTTTATTTCATCATGAATTCTAATTTTATGTTTAGTTTATAGCCAGCATAATTATTTTCAGAAAAAGATGCACAGAATAATATTCAAGGATGACAAATATATTTAGAACACATTTTGTATATGTCTACCATAAACAGTACTGAGGAATAATAGACTTAATACAAATATGTGAACATTTGAGAAAAAAGTCATTTCTATAATAAGGATGAAGAAAGAAACACCGTGATGACTTATGTTGTCATAAGTCTCAACATGCAGTTAGAAAAGTCATTTCTTCCAGTTTTTGAGTTAAAGAAAACCTTTTTTGAAGTTGAGATCTGATGTCAAGTATTTCAGGTTTTTTTTTCTAAACCACCTCAGAGTCCCTGAATTGCCAATGATCTCCTCTATCTTCCATACTTGAAATTCTTTTTAAACTTCACATAAAAGAACTTGAGTCTTCCCTACCTTAGAAAAATACTCTATGTAAAAATAGTATAGAAATTATAAAAATCATTTGAATTAAACTTTTTGCAAATGTTAAAATGGCATCTATGAAATCTATGTATTAATGATAGAAAACATCTAAAATATATGTTGTATTATAATCTAGTTGCAAATAATACAATGAGACAGTGTGTTGATATATTCAGTAATAGCAAGTTCTATTATAGGAAGAAAATGTATAACATCATTAAACAATTAAATTCTATAAACTGTATTAATTCTTGGAGTTATGAAATTTTAACAATATTATCTAAACCTTGGGACAAATCATCTCTACATCTGATTTAGTTATTTGTTTGTTTATCATATATCTTTCCTGGTACAATGTAAGCACCATAAAAGCAGAGATCATATAGATCTTGCTTACTGTTGACTCCCAGGGCCTAAAAGACAACACATAGAATAGGTATTTAAGAATATTTTGATGAACAAGTAAATTGGTGAATAAAGCAGTAAACTAACTATATGGGAGTGGCAAACCAATGAAAATGAAACTTCATCACAAAATCCAAAGTTGCATAAATTTTTATTTTCTGGTTTCAACTTGAGGTTACAGAATTATCTAAGAAGAAGTATTTCTCAGAGCAGAAGTATGGCCATTATACAATTGTAGGGGAAATACCACTCTAAGATAGCCCTGATGAAGCCATATTCGATGTGTGATGGGAAGATAATGTGGAACATCAAAATCAGCTTGTACCTATTGTGATACATTTTAAAAAGCACATCAATATAAAAGATTTTGGTATCTTTGCATACAATTTTTCAGTTGTGAATGATATATTTGTATTGTGATATTTCCAGCTGGTTAGTGTATAAACAAAAATGGCATTTCATTAAAAAAAACTGAGTTAGTTACCAACTACCTTACTAAAACGTGACTTTTATAGAATATTTTAAAACCCTTTCTAAATGAACATTTAAATTGCCATATTAAAAACCCACAGAAAAATGCATAAATAACAATTATAACACTAAACGAGTATCTTAGCCTTGGGTGTCTAGAACTAGAGCCAATGTCTGATGTTAAAGTGATAACATTTATTTGGAAGATAAGTCCAGGGCAGCAATGGCCAGGACATGTGGAAATTGAGGCAAAGCAAATGTGAAACCATGTCTTGTGATGTATGATATGACTCTGCTGATGACCACTTCACAATGAGATGAGAGAGACAGCATGGTGGTCATCAGATGCGTGGACTTGACTCCCAGTACTTTTCCAGAAGGGCTGCAAGGGGAAACCACAGCCGGCATTAGTCCACGGAAGAGAAAGAGAAGAGAAAATGTATCTGCTCAGCTGTCTTCTGTCTTCTATTTCCCATTGGCCAGGGTTTCCCTGAGGCAGAACTACCATCTCTGCTGTTCTGCGTTCCATCATCCAGTCCCTTGGTGGTAGTTATGAAAGCCAAACCTCATGCCCCCAGTGTGGTGTTCCATTGAAGTCCCAAATGGAAGGATGATCTGGATCAAGCAAGGTGCTGACCAAGAAAAGAGAAGACAGTCAAGATAATCTGAGGAAGGATATGTTTGTGGGCAATACTGTCCACTCCTTGTGCAACTCAGATTGGCTCATGCCCTCCAATCATGGCTGGCTTTATAGGCATATGACTTCACAGTTGCACAGGGTCTTGTGCTTAGAAGTGCTTATGCTTAGAGGGGCTTTATGCTTGGATTAATCTTCTGCACTTGCTGTTTTGTTTTTCAGACAGAAGGTAGTCCTCTGCTGGAGAAGGAATAGTCTTCCACTAATTCGCTAGGAGTTTGCTCTCCCCACTCCTATGGGCTTGTGAGAGGCATGCACAGAGTCCTATAATGCCCACTATGCATGCCTGTAGCAACTTTGAATTCTGTTACATCATCTGGCACAATGGCCAAGCAACTTGGGCCAGACTCTATATCTGCTATAGAGCCCGTTTTTGTTTCGGGTTTGACTTGAGACAAGCAGCCCTTGCAAACTCCTTTAGTGAGTCAGAGAAATATCCTTAAATGTGGTATATGTTGAATTCAAAACCCCAATAAGCCCCCATAAAACTGTATTTCCCTTTTAGTGATAGGAAGTATATATATATAGGGCAACATGCCATTTACTGTAAAAAGGATGTTTTGACAAAAGGACCAGAAGCATTGGACCCCTATAAACTTCATCTATGTTATAGGTCTTTGAATCTGCTGAAGTTTATGTCTCTTCTTCCAGTATTTTACTTCTGTTCAATGTTATAATATTTTACTATACTTAAGGAACTTGCCACTTCCTGCTTATGGGTACCACTTTATGTAATATTATTAATATATTGAATTAACATGATGTTTTGCAAAATGTCAATTAAACTGAAAGCAGAAGTGACAGCCCTGACAGAAAACAGTGAAGCAGTGTTCTTGTTTTTACCACACCAAAGCAAATTGTTTTGATTTTCCTCCACAATGTGTGTAGATTAAAAAGCATTAGCTAAATCAAAAGCCGCATACAAAGTGCTGGAAACCACATTCTGCTCAGTGAAGATACCACATCCTAGAGCGAATGTGCAAGTGTGACTTAAGTTTATGCTAATGTGCATTCATCCTATAATCCATCTGGTTTTGACAGAGGCCAGTTAGGTTAACTGAATAAAGATATAAAATGGACGACCGCCCCCTGGAACTTTTGAGTTTTTTGTTGTGGCAGCGACCAATTCTGTTTCCTGGAGAATGCAGTTATTATGTTTTATTCATTTTATTGCCAGGAAAGTAGAATTTCAGAAGCCTCCCCTTGGTCCTGCTTACAATAATGTCCCTTGGTATACAGGTCAGGAAGAAATGTAAGAGTCCTGACAGCTGTTGAACCTGTCAACTTCAATTACACTTTCAGGAAGGGGTAACTACGATGAACTCATTAGAACCCCTTTGGGTTGGACATGGGCCAAAGCTCTATGTACCATCTGATCTTCAAAAACTCATACTCCAGTCCTATTGAGGCAGCTCATACCTGTAATCCTAATAATTTAGGAGGCCGAAGTGGGAGGATCACTTTAGGCTGAGAGTTTCAGATCAGCCTTGGCAACATAGTAAGAATCTGTAAAAAAAAAAAAAAAAATTAGTTGTTTGTGGTAGTGTGTGCCTGTAGTTACAGCTACCCAGAAGACTCAGGCAGGAGGATTGCTTTAGCCCAGGAATTCGAGTTTGCAGTGAGCTATGATGGTGTCATTGCACTCCAGCCTGGGCAATCAAGCAAGATCTTGTCTCTAAAAAGAAACAAACAAAAACAACAAACAAAAGCCCAAAAAGGGCCTGGTGCGGTGGCTCATGCCTGTAATCCCAGCACTTTGGGTGGCTGAGTGGTTGGATCACTTGAGGTCAGGAGTTCGAGATCAGCCTGGCCAACATGGTGAAACCCCACCTCTACTAAAAATACAAAAATTAGCCAGGTGTGGTGGTGTTGCACCTGTAATCCAAGCCACTTGGGAGGCTGAGGCATGAGAATCACTTGAACCCGGGAGGCAGAGGTTGCAGTGAGCTGAGATCATGCCACTGAACTCCAGCCTGGGCGACAGAGCGAGTCTCCACCTCAAAAAAAAAAAAAAAAAAAAAAAAAATCCAGAAGTAAAAATTTGCCACCGTATCCCATGGACCACTGTGTCTTTTGGGGTACCCAGATATTAGTGTTAGTTCAGGCTCCAAACTTAAAAGTCTCAGATAATATGGACGTGTGTTCTGTTCTCTGAGGACTGTTTTCTGGGGAATAGCTACAGGTCTTTGAGAAAGCAACATATGATACATCCTGAGTGTTCTTGCAGTGCATTTTCAATGTCCATCATCAAGAGGACTTAAGATTCCCTTCAATCATTGAATTCTGCTTCTCTGAATTGGCTCAGCCCTGAGAACTGGCTGAGGGTTTTCCATTTTCAATGTTAAAGGCTGACCTCAGGAATCAGCTTTTTCAACTCTTTCCCCCTCTTGGTTTATAATTATTTAGCAAAGTATGAAGCCTCTTCAACTATTGGCCTATCAACCCATTTCAATAAGGCTGTTGTCACCACTTCATTGAATCTGACATTTGGAAGATCACCAGGGAGTCTGTGTTGCCAATGGTCGGTCTTCATGTTGCATGCTCTGTGAGCAGTACTGAATATAGTTTATTTGCATTCCAGGATGCTGCCCTCTCCTGATTTTTTCCTTATTTACTGGGCACCACTTCTCAGTCTCCTTTGCTAGTTCTCTCTTGTCTCTAAATTGAAAATATCACACTGCCCAAGGTCTCAGTTCTTCAACCTTTAATCAATCGGGCTTGTTTTGTTGGTGATCTCATGGAGTCTCCTTACTGATAATGTAGCCAAATGGTTCAATAGAGAGGAATAAGGCTGATTATTCATATGTATTTATATATATTATTTATTTATGTACATCTATTTACATATTTCTCATTATATAAAGCTTTTTTCTTCAAATGTCAGTTACATTTAAAAGTAACATGACCAAAAATCTAGGGAGAATGTGGGAGGATCAATAATGTTTTCACTTGAGTTTCTGCCTATTCAGAGTGATAGTGACTCAGTATCTAATTTAGTTTTATTTAAAATAGCAATGTAAATATTGATAGATTGATAGGCAGGGGATAATCATTATGGACATAATGATCTAAGTAAAGAAATACATAGATAGAATTATGATTGATTAACCCATTTTTTATTTCTTGCATTTGGTACAGTTAGTGTCTCAGTATCGCAGTAATCATAGTTCTTAAGTTTTTGCTCCATGATCAATGAATTATGAGTTAATTTTTGTGTGTGGTATAAAATAAGGGTCTAAATTTATGTTTTTTCTTTCTCTTTTGGCTCTTACTTTTTAGGTAAGTTCATCTGGTCATGGCCTTACTTTCTGTGTGCTGATGATGTGAACATTTAATCCTTCAGCTCAGAACCCAACCCTGGTCTCCAGAATCCTTTCTCTAATAGCATATTTGACATCTTCATTTGGATGTCTGACAAGAACTTAGAACTAAGTTGTCTAAACCAAATTACTCATCTTTCCTTCCATCCCCAAATCTGTTTCTCCTACAGTCTTTCCTTTTGTTAATGAAGACTTCAGACTTTCAGATATTTAGACAAAAAACATAGAGTCCACGTTTTCTCTCCTTCACATCTCATCTCAGCAAATTTTATAGACTCTGTCTTCAAAAACATACAGAATCCAATCCCTTGTCGTCACTTCTGCCATACTCATCTAAATTTCTGCATTTCTTGCCAAGATAATTGCTATCAACTCCTAATAATTTTTTCTAGTTCTGCACATTCCCCTGATGTATTCTCAATGTAGCAGCCAGAGAGAGCCTGCAAAAGTGCAAATTTGATCATGCTGTTCTTCTGCTCCAGATTTTTCAGTGGCTTCTCAACTCATTCAGAGTAAGGCCAAAATCCTTACGAAGTCCTATAATCATTTGAATGATCTGTTTTTGTCTGCCTGTCTGTCCTAAAACACACCTGGCTCATCCCATGCTAGCAACATTGGCCTTTGTGTCACTTCTTGAATATGCCAAGCATTGCCTCAGGGACTTCATACTTGTGTCCTTTCTTCTTGGAATGCTCTTTCTCAGATATCAACACTAAACACTACCACTCCTCAAATATCACTAAATCACTAAATCAATCCTGCCTTATTTAAAGAGAAATCTCACTTCTCTCTGCAGTTTTAAATTTTTTTTAGATTTTATTTTAGGTTCAGAGGTATATGTGCAGGTTTGTTATATAAGTAAATTGCATGGCATGGGAACTTGCTGTATAGATTATTTCATCACTGGGGTGATAAGCAGAGTACCTGATAGGTAACTTTTTGATCCTCACCCCCCTCCTGCCCTCCGTCTTCAAGTGGGCCCTGGTGTCTGTAGCTCCCTTCTTTGTGTCCATATGTATTTAATGTTTAGCTCCCACTTGTAAGTGAGAACATGTGGTACTTGCTTTGCTGTTTCTGTTTTACATTCCCACCAGCAGTATAAAAGCATTCCCTTTCATCACAACCTTGACAGAGTCTGTTTTTGTTTGTTTGTTTGTTTGTTTGTTTGTTTTGTAATAGGCATTCTGAGGGGTGTGAGAGGTTATCTCGTTGTGGTTTTGATTTGCATTTCTTTAATGATTCATTCATATTGAGCATTTTTTCATATGCTTGTTGGCTGTGTGTATGTCTTCACTTGAAAATTGTCTATGCCTTTTATTCATTTTTAAATGGAGGTGTTTGTTTTTTGCTCGCAAAATCAAGTTCCTTATAGATTCTGAATAGGACTTTGTCAGATGCATAGTTAGCAAAATATTTTCTCCCATTCTGCAGGTTGTCTGTTTACTCTGTTGATAATTTCTTTTCTTGTGCAGAAACTCTTTAGTTTAATTAAGTTTCATTTATCAATTTCTGTTTTTGTTGCAATTGCTTTTGGCATCTTTGTCATGAACTCTTTGCCAGGTCCTATGTCCAGAAAGGTATTTCCTAGGTTATTTTTCAGGTGTTATTTTTCTTTTTACAGTTTTAGGTTTTACATTTTAGTATTTAATCCAGCTTGCTTTGATTTTTGTATATGTATTAGGAAAGTATCCAGTTTGAATCTTCTGCATGTGACTAGCCAGTTATCTCAGCATTATTTGTTGAATAGGGGGTCTGTCCCCATTGCTTGTTTTTCTTAACTTTGTTGAAGATCAGATGGCTGTAGGTGGGTGGCATTATTTCTGGGCTCTCTATTCCATTTCCTTGGTCTATGTGCCTGTTTTTGTACCATTGCCATGCTGCTTTGGTTACTGTTGCCTTGCAGTGTGGTTCAAAGTTAGGTAATGTGCCTCCAGCTTGTTCTTTTTCCTTGGGATTGCCATGGCTATTTGGGCTCTTTCTTTTTTTTTTTTTTATTCCATATGAACTTTAAAATAGTTTTTTTCTACTTTGGTGAAGAATGTCACTGGTAGTTTGTCAGAAATAGCACTGAATCTGTAAATTGCTTTAGGCAGCATGGGCATTTTAGCAGTATTGATTCTTTCTATCCATGAGCTCGGAATCTTTTTCCACTTGTCTGTGTCATATTTGATTTCTGTGAGCAATGTTTTGTAATACTCTTTGTAGCGATATTTCACCTCCCTGGTCAGCTGTATTCCTCTATATGTTGTATTCCTTTGCTGCTATTGTGAAAGGGATTGCTTTCTTTATTTGTCTCTGTTTGGATGTTGTTGATATATAGGAATGTTACTAATTTTTGTACATTGATTTTTGTATCCTGAGAATTTGCTGAGTTTGTTTGTAAGATCAAGGAGATTTTGGGCAAATACTGTTGGGATTTCTAGGTATAGGATTACATTGTCTGCAAACAGGGATAGTTTGACTTCTTCTCTTCCTACTTAGATGACTTTTATTTCTTTCTGTTGCCTGATTGCTTTGGCCAGGACTTCCAGTAATTGATTAAGAGTGGTGAGGGAAGATATCCTTGTCTTGTTCCTATCTTCCAGGGGAATACTTCCAGTTTTGCTCATTCGGTATGATGTGGCTTTGTTTGTCATAGGTGGTGCTTATTATTGTGAAGTATATACCTTCAATTCCTAGTTTGTTGAGAGTTTTTAATATGAAGAGATGTTGAATTTATTGAAAGCCTTTTCTGCATCTATCGAGATGATAATGCGATTTTCGTTAATTAGTTCTGCTTATGTGATGAAGCACACTTATTGATCTGCATATGCTGAAACAACCTTGTATGTTAGTGATAAAGCCTACTTGATTATGGTGGATTAGCTTTTTGATGTGCTGCTGGATTCAGTTTGCTAGTATTTTTTGAGTACTTTTTCATCTGTGTTTATTAAGGATATTGGTCTGAAGTTTTCTATTTTTTGTTGTGTCTCTGAAAAGTTTAGGTATTAGGGTGCTGCTGGCTTTATAGAATGAGTTATGGAGGAGTCCCTTTTCCTCAGTTTCTTAGAATAGGTTCTGTATAAATCATACCAGTGCTTTGTTATACATTTGATAGAATTCAGCTGTGAATCTGTCTGGTCCTGGGCTTTTTTTGGTTGGCAGGCTTCTTATTACTGATTCAATTTTGGAACTCATCATCGGTTTATTTAGGGATGCAATTTCTTCTTAGTTCAGTCTTGGAGGTTGTATATGCCCGGGAATTTATGCATTTCTTCTAGGTTTTCTAGCTTGTATGCATAGAGGTGTTGATAGTAGTTTGTGAAGGTTGTTTGCATTTCAGTGGGGTCAGTGGTAATGTCCCCTTTGTCATTTCTGAAAGTGTTCATTTGTATATTCTCTCTTTTTTCTTTATCATTGTGGCTAGTGTTCTATCTATCTTAATTTAAAAAAAAAAAACTCCTCAGCCCACTGATCTTTTGTATGATTTTATGCATTGCAATTTCCTTCACTTCAGCTCTGATGTTGGTTATTCCTTGTCTTCTGTTAGCTTTGGCATTGGTTTGCTCATGGTTGTCTAGGTCTTTTTGTTGGGATGTTAGGTTGTTAATTTGAGATCTTTCTAACTTTTCAATGTGGGCATTTAGTGCTACAAACTTTCCTCTTAACACTGCCTTAGCTATATCCCAGAAATTCTGGTATGTTGTATCTTTTTTCTCATTAGTTTCAAAGAATTTCTTGGTTTCTGCCTTAATTTCATATGTACCCAAAATTCATTCAGGAGAGGGTTGTTTAATTTCCATGTAATTATATGGTTTTAAGCTATTGTCTTAGTATTTACTTACATTTTTATAGGGCTGTGGTCCAAGAACGTGACTGGTATATTTTTTGTTGTTTTGTATTTGCTAGGAATTGTTTTATGTTAGATTGTGTGGTTCATTTTAGATTACATGCCATGTACAGATGAGAAGAATGTGTGTTCTGTTCTTTTGGGGTGAACTGTTCTGTGGTGGTCTATTAGGTTCGTTTGGTCAAGTGTTTAGTTCAGATTCTGAGTACCTTTGTCAGTTTTCTGTCTTGATCATCTGTCTAATGCTGTCTGTGGGGTGTTGAATTCTCCCACTAGTGTTGTGTGTTTATCTAAGTCTTTTCATAGGTCTCTAAGAACTTGCATTATGAATCTGGGTGTTCCTATGTTGGCTGCATATATATTCAGAATAGTTAGGTCTTCTCGTGAATTGAGTCTTTTACTTTACATAATGCCCTTCCTTGTCTTTTTTGATCTTTGTTGATTTAAAGACTTTTTTTATGAAATTAGAATAGTAACTCTGTTTTTTTTTTTCTATTTTTTATTTGCTTGGTAGATTTTTCTTCATTCCTTTACTTCGAGCCTATGCGTATCATTACACGTGAGATGGGTCTCTTAAGGACAGCATACCATTAGGCTACGCTTTTTTATCCAACCTGCCACTCTTTGCTCTTTAACTGGGGCAATTAGCCTTTTTACATTCGAGGTTAGTGTTGATATGTGAAGATTTGATTGTTTCATCATGTTGTTAGCTGGTTATTATGCAGATTGGGTTGTGTGGTTACTTTATAGTGTTACTGGTCTATGTACTTAAGTGTATTTGTGTTGTCAGTGAAGATCTTTTCTTTCCATGTTTAGTACTCCCTTCAGGACCCCTTGTGAGGCACGGCTGGTGGTAATGAAATCCCTTAGCATTTGCTTGTCTGAAAAGATCTTATTTCCCCTTCACTTATGAAGCTTAGTTTGGGTGGATACGAAATTCTTGATTAAAAATTCTTTTTAAAAAACAAAACTGCTGAATGTAAGCCCCCATTCTCTTTCTGTTTGTAGGGCTTCTACTAAAAGGTCCATTGTTAGCCTGATGGGGTTCCCTTTGTAGGTGATCTGTCCTTTCTCTTCCAGTTGACTTTAGCATTTTTTCTTTTATTTTGAGCTTGGAGAAGCTGATGACTATGTGCCTTGGGGATGGTCTTCTTGTGAGTTTTTAGTTCAGTCAGATCAGTTTGGTTCCTTCGTTGATTCTTTCCCCAGCTTGCTCAATTATGCCGTGAATACTTTCCATTGTGTTCTGAAATTCTTGATGTTAGTTTTTCAGTTCTGTCAGAACACTTTTTTTTCTTTTTTAAAATAACCGTTTTGTATTTCAACTTCTGCATCATTTTATTGCATTCCTTAAAAACTTTGGATTTGGTTTTTACTTTCTCCTGAATCTCATTGATCTTCATTCCCATCCATATTCTGAATTCTATTTCTGTCATTTCTGCCTTTTCAGCCTGGTCAAGAACCATTGCTGCTGAACTAGTGTGGTTGTTTGGAGGTAAGAAGACATTCTCTGGCTTTTCGTGTTGCCAGAGTTCTTGTGCTAATTCTTTCTCATCTGTGTGGGCTGATGTTCCTTGAATCTTTGAAATTGCTGTACTTTGGATGGGTTCTTTTTTTTTCTTTTATCTTCTTTGATACCCTTGGGGGTTTGATTTCGGAATAAGGTGGGTTTCATTTACTAGCTTTGTTTATGGTAGATTTTGGGGGTGCCAAGGATCAGCTCAGCACTCCCGCGCTGAATGCCGTAACTCTGGGAGGCTAGTATTGGGCCCCTGGCTTTGCTCTCTTTCCCCTTAAGGTTGGGAATCTGCTATGCTGGAAGGGCTATTGTGTTCCTGGATTGCTGGTTACGATACTCTGAAGGATGGTGCCAGCCTAAGCACTTTGTTGGGCAGTGGCATTGTGGCTCATCCTTGTTCACACATGCCAGCAGCATCAGTAGTGTGGCAGAGTACACACTCGTAGACTGGGGTGGGGTGCAGGTGGATCCAAGGCTGCTAGCCTCTATATGGACATTGGCAGTAGCCTAAATTCATCTTTATGCATGAGAATATTCATTTTGTCTAGCATCATTTATTGATAAAAATGATTCTTATTTAATTGAAATGGTATGGTTTTTGAAATTAGCTGATAATAAATGTTGTTACTAATTTGTGGACTCTTAATTGTGTTTCATTATTCTTGTCTATAGTATTAAAAATGCCAGTGTCCTGATGATTAGTCCAGCTTTTAGCAAACTTTGAAATGAGAAACTGTAATCCCCCCACTTTGTTCTTTTTAAATTATTTCTCTAGGTGCTCTTGTCACTTGGCATTTCCAGATACATTTTAGGAGTAGTTTTTTATGGTCTACCAAAAAAGCCCGCCAGAATTTGATAGAGATTGCATTAAATATATAAGTTGACTCTTCACCTATAAAGACTCTCCTTGTGCTGGATTTTAGTTTAGCTGGCCCTCCTTGTTTGCACAGCTCTCCGATGAATTGAAAATATAATTTTGGCCTTTTATTTATCTTATCCTAGCTGCTGCAGAAGAATATTTTGCCTGCTGGAACCTGCTGTATCTACTCAAGAGTGGAAGTTTTCACAGGTAACTTCTACATATCAAGTAACACAGGATCAAATGAAAACCTAGCAACACTTGGTTTCTGCCTGTATCAGACAGGTGAAATTGCAAGCAGTTATACAAGTAGTGTACTAACTTCTCATAAAGCCTACTCAAGGAGGGTATTGTTATTGTGTGCGTTTTACAGATGGCTATCCTAAGGCTGATAGTAGTTGTAAAATATAGTCTAAGTTCATATCTATATGAAACAGAGTATCTGGGTTTCTGTCCTGGCCATCAGACTTGAAGATCATTTCTTAGAAACAATTATATTATCAAAACTGAAAAGAAATACAATCCAAGGTTGGAGTCTTATTTTAGCATCTATTAATCTTAAGCCATTAAGTAATCAAAAATAAATTAAAAAGAAAAAAATATATTCAAATATCACATGTAGAGAAGTCTAGTTTCTTCAGTGGAAAACACATGTTTTTTAAGTGCTCAAGGAATATTTACAAAATTGCTTAATATTTTTAATTAAATAATTAATATTTAAAGACTTAATAGACCCAAAAGGATAACTTACTTATAGACCTAAGCATGAGAGATCAGTTTGATAAATATTGAAAATGGGCTAAAAAGCATGAGTGGGAAAATAAGGACTTTTCAACCTACATGACCTCCCTGAAATTTATTCTTCATTTTGAAAATTATAGGACAATAATTTCTCCCATCCATGTGGTGTGTGTGTGGGCGGGCGGGGGGGGTGGGTTGTGGTGCTTTGTACGTGTTAATTGGCTTGTTACCAATAAGGTTATACAGAGGTATTAGCAGCAACCAGATTTTAAAGAGTACTGGCCTTCCTGGGGTTCCCAAAAAAATCTTGAATGCATTTGATAGGAAAAGTTGGATTCTGTCTACATAAATCTGGTACTGAGGAAAACAAATTCACTTTGGCCATGATTCTAGTTACGACCAAACTCCCTTCAAAAATGTAGATATCCAATATATAATCTATGTATTGGGTTTTAAAATTTTCCTAACAACTGATGTTGCTGAACAAAAATTATGGAGAAGTTAAAGAGGGAAAAAATTGCAAAACAATGAAAGAGAATATGTCTTCATTTGCATGCTTGCAAGTGAAAAATCAGCTTTTACTTCAACGTCATTATGAAAAATTTTATTCAAATTTTTTCAAAAGAAAAAATAGAAAGAACAGTGTATGAATAGTAGTTAACTTGAGCTGTTCTGAGAATAACATATTTTCCATAAAGACAGCATTGAACTCATCTATAAGCATGTGCTGGTGCTTTACTGCTTGACATTGGTCACACAACTGAATTTAAAAGCATCAAAAATATTAGTGCACATTCAGAATTCAGGTACACATAGAGTTTAAGGTCAGGACCTTAAGGGGGATCATGCCCAGTGATATTAGACTTGCCTTTTTTTAAGGTGTGTTTGTTCAGTTCATGGGAAGTTTACTACCAATCATTTTTTTCCATACTAGTAATGGTGGAATTTGTATTTTCCCATGACACCTATATTAAATGTATAAACATTTTTATATTTCAACACTTTGTATGAGTCCTTTCAGGGCCTGTTAAACACTCCAAATTTCCCTTGCAACATGCCAATAACTAATCATATTTTCTCAAAATGATCTGACATAATGTTTGACTGAAGGCATATCTCTGGTATAATTCTATTTGCTGATATCAAATGAGAATTTGAAACTTCATGAAAAATGATTAGAAAATTTAATAATAGAATACGAATAAGTGCATAAAATATACAATTCATTCTTGAGAAATGTGTATAAAATCACAATCATAGAATGATAAAAGAGTAATATGTAATTTTTGAACTAAAGTTACGTTTTAAAATTGAATAGAAAAAGAATTATAAAATGTTAAGTTTAATAATTTTTATATAAATATAAAAGTGTGAAAATTATTCTGATATTACTCATTTTGAAAAGAACAAGAAGTAATGAGAATTTTCAAACACTGCTCCTAGAAGTATAAATTAATATAATTCTTTGGCTTAGTATGGCATTATCTGATGAAGATGAAGGAGCACATCTTAAGACTCAGTACAGGTACTCTTACCAGAAAATGTATACACACACATGAATATCACTGTGTTTTCATAGCTAAAGTTGAGAAGTTTCTCAAATGTCTATCAGTGATAAAATAGATAAATAAATTATGGCATACCTATATAATAGTATAGTACTATACAGTAATCAAAATGAACCAACTAGAGAGACATGTTTACAAGAAATGTATATAACAAAGAAAATAAACAAATTTGAGCTGATTAGATAATACTCACAAGTGTAAGAGGATCTATCCATAGTGAAAAACATTCATTTTAATTCCATTTATATAAAGTTTTCAAAAATATATCTTTAATACATTGCAATTTATTACATTGGTGACAAAACTCTAAAGTGAAACATATGAGTGACTATTACAACAATATGGATAGTAGGGAGGAGGAAAACAAGAGGAGAATGGGATCAACAGAAGGCATATATGGGGAGTGTCTGGATGGCTGGAAAATTCTATTTTTTGACCAAGATGTGGTAAACACGGGGAGTAAAGTTATAACTTTTTCTCTTACTGTGCTTTTAGGTTTTGTTGCTTTCTGTCTGTATGCTATGTTCCACAATAATAAAAATATTTAAAAGGCAAAAAAAGTAAAATAATGAATATAAAATTACACTGAAACTACATATTCTCATAGATAGAACTGTAATTATTAGAGTTTTTGCTGAATAAAGTCAAATAGACTATTATAGTAGTTATAAACACAAGTTAAAATTTTAGGGCCGGGCAAAGTGGCTCACGCCTGTAATCCCAGCACTTTGGGTGGCTGAGCGGGTGGATCACCTGAGGTCAGGTGTTCAAGACCAGCCTGGCCAACATGGTGAAAGCCCGTATCTACTAGAAAATACAAAAAATTAGCTGATTGTGGTGGCGGGCTCCTGTAATCCCAACTACTAGGGAGGCTGAGGCAGGAGAATCGCTTCAACCTGGGAGGCGGAGGTTGTAGTGGGCTGAGATTGTGCCATTGCACTCCAGCCTGGGCAACAAGAATGAAACTCCATCTCAAAAACGAAAAAAAAAAACAAAAAAACTTTTCTTTAATTTTAAAAATAATATATAAGCAAGAACTATAAATTCAAATTCTTAATGCTAATCTTAATTTGAAACATCAAATTTTGAATATTGATACATTGCTGGACACCTTTTGTTCTTATTTCCAATTTATTTACAATGCACAAAGTGACAGAAATTACTGAATTTTCAATAAATTATGGTACTGTAGATATTAAATTATACGGATGATTATCCCTAAATTTATCCTTAAATAAAATAATTTCAGTCATATTGTTACCATTCAAAAATCATAGTATGTGCACACATATATGTTGGAAAAAATATTTTGTTGCTATAATTTTTTGGCTCTCTATTAGAGAAAAAACCAGAAAGTTAAATGTGTTAAAGTGTAAAACTTACTTAGTATAATCTTTGGGTATGTTTTTGTATGTGTAGTGCTGCATTGCTTGCTATAATAAAATACTCCAAGGGACCAGGTGCAGTGGCTCACGTCTGTAATCCCAACACTTTGGGAGGCCGATACAGGCAGATCACCTGAGGTCAGGAGTTCAAGACTAGCCTGGCCAACATGGCAAAACCCCATCTCTGCTTAAAAATACAAAAATTAGCCGGGTGTGGTGGTGGATGCCTTTAATCCCAGCTACTCAGGAGGCTGATGCAAGGAGAATTGCTTGAACCTGGGAGTCAGAGGTTGCAGTGAGCCGAGATTGTACCATGGCACTCTAGCCTGAGCAACAGAGTGAGACTCCATCTCAAAATAAAATAAAATAAAATACTCCATATTTCATCACAGTAGCTGAGAATGCAAATAACCATTTGAAAGAATTTGGCTTGCTAATGATGCTATTGATACATATGATAAATTTTACGTACTGTATAATTGCACAGAGTATTTGTACATGTTCATATGAAAATGCAAAAAAACAAAAAAACAGAAAAACCAAAGAGCAGGTGCTATTTGCTGGAAGACATGTTTGCTATGATTTTTAGAATTTAATAAAAGAAAAAAAATAGCTAGCAAACTTTTGGAAATATGTTGGTTTAAAGTTGTCATTGATGAAATACTATGTGAAGGTGATAGGAGCAGGAGGCTGGGAAATTCTAGACAGAAAAGGGCGGGTCCTCAGCTAAAGCCCCACTCTCAAGCCAAATAGACTGAGACTGTGGCCCAAAGGGAGTACTTCTATCCCTGTTTTCCCACTCAAATGTTGCCTTTTTTGGCCTGCCCCACCCCTCATCCTATGCCCATAAAACCCCAGGCTCCACCGGTAGTGAGAAGTGGCTGAAGATCGAGAGGAGAAGCAGCTCAATGTTGTAGACTATGGTGGGACGTTGGAGAGAAGTGGCTTGACTTCAGAGGGACAGGTTGAAGGCGTGACTTTCGAGAAGAGTCTGGCTGGAGACAGCCGGACTTCAGGGGAAGATTACCTTCCTGCTTCACATTCCCTTTCCAGCTCCCCTTCCTGCTGAGAGTCACTTCCATCAAAATAAAATCTCCCTCATTTACCATTCTCCAATTCGGTTGTGCAACCTCATTTTTCTTGGAAGCTGGACAAGAGCTCAGGAGCCAGGAATGCAGATACGAAAAGTTGTTACACTGAACCTCTGCCCTTGCTGGCAAGAGGCAGCCGCCTCAAGCGAAAAGGCAAAGGGCCCACTGAGCTACTAACACTTAAGACGTCTGCAGATAGCAGAGCTAAAAGAGCACTGTAACACCCTCCCCCTCGAGGTTTCAGGGGTGCGGGCACCCCCCCAGATGCTGCTGCGGGGCCTGCACAGAATTTGTTCCTGCTGGCATCCAAAAGTGCTCCTGCACCTGTTCACCTGTGTGCTCCCTCCCATGAGGGCTGGGCGCAGTGGGTCCCAGCGAGTGGATTTCACCCCTGCCAGCCCTAAAGCAGCTGGCTGGTTCTAGCGTCAGTGAGCCCCAGTTCCCTCCCATGAAGGGGTAAGGGAAATGTCCTCCATCAAAGGTATTATTTCAGTCTAAGCCCTGATGCTGAGAATAATATGAGAATCATAAAGCCAGGAGAAAGAATAATTGTGTTATCCCATTACCCTGAATTGTAGCACTTAGAAAAATGAATGGTCACATTTATTAGCTAGCAGTCTACCTTGTAGCTATCATCATCATCTCTATCTACATCTATCCCATTAAATAATTTACTTTTTGAAATATGTACATTCATAAATTGGATAATGCCTACGTAATTTAAATAAAGAATATCATTATGGGCAAGTTACATTAGTAAACGGTAAAGTTCAAGTCAAGCTAAATACATTTAGATTTAGAAATTAAGTTTAGTTTAGTTTAAAATACATTGCTTAAGAAAATAGTTATTTATGGATGACCTTAAACTAATCCAAGGAACACTATAATAAACATTTAGTTTTTAACGTAAATACAATTCTTCAATCAGAGAGATAAACCATTTCATGATCAATCTATTATTTTTGTTTATTATTTTTATTATTTATTTATTTTTCTTTTGAGACGGAGTCTCGCTCTCTAGCCCAGGCTGGAGTGCAGTGGCTCCATCTCAGCTCATTGCAACCTCCGCCTCTTGGGTTCAAACGATTCTCCTGCCTCAGCCTCCTGAGTAGCTGAGATGACAGGCACGTGCCACCACACCCTAATCTCTTATTTTTAAAAAGAGGATTTTAGGACTAAACAAATCAAATGTAAGTTTCCCCTCACCTCTTTGATCTCTCACTTGAGTAATGATGCAGTTTGAAGGCAAAGAGCCCCATTTCTACATTATAAGCAAAATAAAAGTTAATTCATGGAATACAATGGTGTATTTGTAATTGAGGTACTATATTTTATTTATTGGAATGGCATTTTGAGATCCAGTGCTGTTCATTGAATTTCCCTGTAAGGAGAGTTTGTGGTTTGGACTCATCAAGCTGCTATGCCAAAAACAAAACAAAACAAAACAAAACAAAAAGCTAATCACATGAAATCAATTTCCTGTTTCTTCCAACTTGCAGGATAAGGCCTAGACGAAGCTTTTATTGTATTGTGTGACCCAAGTGTTGGGAAAAGTAGAAAATTGTTACCAGATGTGAAGAAACATTTAGGGGCTTGAAAAGCAGCATGGAGGTGGACCTAGGCTCTTTGCAATGTTCCACGTCTTGCCTTATTTGATGGTTACATGAGTGTTTATAATACATTGCTGTGTTTACCATTTTTATTTTGACTCATTTCTAAGTGTGCATTATAATTTTATTTGAAAATTATTTATTAGGAGAAGTGCACCATAAAAATTATTGATTACTCTGCTCATTATATACCTAGGAAAAAATTCACCATTTATATATCTTTACATACAACTCTAAGAGAGTTGAAGTGGGAACTTTATTTTAGTTACAACATGTAGAAATAAGAGAAGACGCTACCTGAAGTACCCAGATCTTTCCAAAGGTTTTTTTCTACTTTTTTTTTTTTTTTTTTTTTGAGACGGAGTCTTGCTCTGTCGCCCAGGCTGGAGTGCGGTGGCGCCATCTCCGCTCACTGCAAGCTCCGCCTCCGGGGTTCACACCATTCTCCTGCCTCAGCCTCCCAAGTAGCTGGGACTACAGGTGCCCGCCACCAGGCCTGGCTAATTTTTTGTATTTTTTGTAGAGACGGGGTTTCACCGTGTTAGCCAGGATGGTCTCGATCCCCTGATCTCTTGATCTGCCCACCTCAGCCTCCCAAAGTGCTGGGATTACAGGCGTGAGCCACCGCGCCCAGCCTCTACCTTTAATTATCTACCTTGCATGACAAAACTTTGCCATTCCTTATCTATTTTTCTTTTGGCTCCTCTATTCCTGACACAACAAGGGTGGACATATTTCCCACACGCTTGGTTTTGCAGAGTACCTATATCAGTTAGGTTTTTCTGCCAGAGAAACCTCTCCAACACTACATTACATATTGATATCTCACATGTCTTTGGATTCAGTTTTTCTAAGCTGGGTTTGCTGGATGGCTCTGGTGATATGAGATGGGCCAAGTTCTGCATCTTGGAATTAGTTAGAGTTTGGACAAAGTAGGCTGGATCAGGCAAGGACAAACTGACTCCATTATTTTCTCATTCTCCTTCTGGGAACAGAGTAGTAGCCAGGCAATGTTCTCATAATAAACAGAAAAGGAAAAGAAACTCCAATGTGGAAACCATCTCAAACCTCTGTGTGAAGTCTACCAATTTTCTGTTAATCAAAGCAAGCTATGTGAGTGTACTCAGAGTCCAGGGGCAAGGTAGTCACCCTGTGTGTGGTGGGAAAATACTGCAAGATTATATGTCAAATAATGGGATACTCAGGAATATTTACAAAAATGTTGAATATTTTAATGAAATAACAAATATTTAGACATTCAATAGACTTGAGAGTAACTTTACCAAGGGTCTAAGTATGAGAGATATGTTTAATATATTTTTATGGGCTGAAAACCCTGAGTGGGAAAATAGGACTAATTTCACCAGGATGACCTCCTGGAAATGCATTTTCCATTTTGGAAATTATTTTAAAAGTTCATTTTTTCTGGATGGGTATGTGTATGTGTGTGTGTCTGTCTATGTGTGTATGTTTTATGAGCTTGTTAACACTAATGTCATACAAAAGTACTGGTTAGCAGGAATAAGATTTTAAGGTGTATTGGCATTCCCATGGTTCCCAAGAAAATTTTCGATGACTTTGATTAAAAAGTTTGGATTTTGTCTATTTAAATCTAGCATAAAAATTGGTCATGGTGATGATCCTAGTTATAACTAATCTCCCTTTAAGATTTAGGCATTTACTGTGTGAAATATGTGGCACATTTTCCATAACAAACAGCTAAAGTTACTGAACACAAATTATGGAAAGGTGAAATGAGGAAAACATTGCAAAACACTGAAAGAGAATATGTCTTTATTTGCATGCTGGCAAATGAAAATTCCGGTTTCACTTCTACTTCAGTATCTAACAAGTCTCTAACAAGAACAGACATTGAATGAATGAATTAAGTTGAGCTGTTTGAAAATTAGAATGTTTTCCATAAATACATTATTGAACTATCAATTAGCATAAACTGCTACTTTCTTGTTTGACACTGGTCACAGTATTTGAAAGTAAAAAGAATGTTACTGCACATTCAGAAATCAGGTCCACATAAAATTTAAGGTCAGGATATTAAAGGATCACAGCCAGTGCTGTTAGGCCTTCATTTATTCTATCTTTTTGTCTGTTCAGACATGATAACTTTTCTACCCATCATTTTTTCCATTCTAGTAGTGGTTACATTTGTTCTTGGGAATTTTGCTAATGGCTTCATAGTGTTGGTAAATTCCATTGAGTGGGTCAAGAGACAAAAGATCTCCTTTGCTGACCAAATTCTCACTGCTCTGGCAGTCTCCAGAGTTGGTTTGCTCTGGGTAATATTATTACATTGGTATGCAACTGTTTTGAATCCAGGTTCATATAGTTTAGGAGTAAGAATTACTACTATTAATGCCTGGGCTGTAACCAACCATTTCAGCATCTGGGTTGCTACTAGCCTCAGCATATTTTATTTCCTCAAGATTGCCAATTTCTCCAACTTTATTTTTCTTCACTTAAAAAGGAGAATTAAGAGTGTCATTCCAGTGATACTATTGGGGTCTTTGTTATTTTTGGTTTGTCATCTTGTTGTGGTAAACATGGATGAGAGTATGTGGACAAAAGAATATGAAGGAAACGTGAGTTGGGAGATCAAATTGAGTGATCCGACGCACCTTTCAGATATGACTGTAACCACGCTTGCAAACTTAATACCCTTTACTCTGTCCCTGTTATCTTTTCTGCTCTTAATCTGTTCTTTGTGTAAACATCTCAAGAAGATGCAGTTCCATGGCAAAGGATCTCCAGATTCCAACACCAAGGTCCACATAAAAGCTTTGCAAACGGTGACCTCCTTCCTCTTGTTATTTGCTGTTTACTTTCTGTCCCTAATCACATCGATTTGGAATTTTAGGAGGAGGCTGTAGAACGAACCTGTCCTCATGCTCAGCCAAACTACTGCAATTATATACCCTTCATTTCATTCATTCATCCTAATTTGGGGAAGCAAGAAGCTGAAACAGACCTTTCTTTTGATTTTGTGTCAGATTAAGTGCTGAGTAAAAGACCTGAAACTCTCAAATTTCTAGATTCACAAGTGGGACATCGTGTGTCTCCAAGAGAAAACAAACTGATGTTGTCTGGAACATTTTATACTTTCCACTGGTTTTTCTGTATTGTATGTTTTTGAGTAATTTCCAAAAGTATATCTAGAAAAGTCTTTTACCTAAAGTTAGTCTAAAAAGTATCTATATATGCATGTGTATGTGTATATGAAACACTTAAGAGAGAGTGGCAATAACATAATCATTTTTTACAAACTGCCAAATTATAGAAAATATTGTAAGAAATTTTTCAGAATCATGAAGCCATGTGTATTCACAATACAGTTCATATTATCATGTTTCATTTGAAAAATTTATGATCTCTATTTATAATTGTTAAGAACTTACAGCTTATTTCACAAAATCATTGCTCTTTTCCACTGTTATTTGTACCATACGTATGTACCATAGTGTGCTTAAACGTGATTATTTGAACGTCTAGTTTTTTGGATGGTATGCGCATTCTAATCTAAATCAATAATGAAGTTTTATCTTTGGGGTAGTTTTTGTTGCATAATGAATTCTAATTTTATGTTTAATTTAAAGCAAACAATTATTGTTAGAAAACTATGCACAAAATAAAATTCAAGGATGAAAAATATATTTGGAATACATTTTGTATATGTCTACCATCATCAGTACTGAGGAATATTAGATTTTATACAAATATGTGAACAACTGAGAAAAAAGTCATATCTGTAATAGGGATGAAGAAAGAAACACAATGCTGACCTCTTAACTGCTGTCATAAGTCTCCATATACAGGTAGAAAAGTCATTTCTTCCAGTTTTTGAGGTAAAGAAAACCTTTTTTGAAATTGAGATCGGATACCAAATATTTCCGTTTCTTTCCTAAACTGCTTCAGAGCCCCTAAATTGCCGATTCTCTCCACTATCTTCCACATTTAAAAATCTTTTTAAAAATCACATAAATGAACTCAAATCTTTATTACTTGAAAAAATACTCCATGTAAAAATAGTATAGAAATTATGAAAATCATTTGAATTATACTTTCTGCAAATTCTAAAATGACGTCTATGACATCTATGTATTGATGATAGGAAATGACTTAAATATATGTTTTATTATAATCTAGTTGCAAATAATGCAGTGAGAGAAAGTGTGTTGACATATTCAGTGATAGCAAGTTCTATTATAGGAAAAAATGTATAACGTCATTAAACAAGTAAATTCTACAGACTGTATCAATTCTCGGAGTTATGAAATTTTAACAATGTTATCTAAACCTTGAGATAAATCATTTGATTTAGTTATTTGTTTGTTTATTATATATCTTTCCTGGTACAACGTAAGCACCATAAAAGCAGAGACCCTGGTCGGGGTCGGTGGCTCACGCCTATAATCCCAGCACTTTGAGAGGCCGAGGTGGGCGGATCACGAGGTCAGGAGATCAAGACCGTCCTGGCTAACGCTGTGAAACCCGGTCTCTGCTAAAAATACAAAAAAATTAGCAGGGCGTGGTGGCGGGAGCCTGTAGTCCCAGCTACTCGGGAGGCTGAGGCAGGAGAATGGCATGAACCCAGGAGGCGGAGCTTGCAGTGAGCCGAGATCGCGCCACTGCACTCCAGCCTGGGCGACAGAGCGAGACTCCGTCTCAAAAAACAACAACAACAAAAAACAGAGATCCTGCAGACCTTGCTTATTGTTGACTGCCAGGACCTAAAAGATCACATAAAAAATAGATAGCCAAAAATATTTTGAAGAACAAATGAGTTAGTGAATAGAGTAATAAATTACATGTCTTGGGGTGGTGAACCAGTGAAAATGAAGCATCACAAAATCTACAGTTGCATGAATTTGCCTATTCTGGTTTCTGGTTGAGATGACAGAATTATCTAAGAAGAAGCATTTTTCAGAGTAAAAGTGTGGTTATTCCATACTTGCAGGGGAAATATCGCTATATATAGCCTTGATGCAGCTATATCAGACTAAAAACATGGAGATAAGGTGGAACATCAAAATCACATGGCACCCACTACAATACCTTCAAAACAGCATATAAAAGACTTTTGGATATTTGTATATATTTTCTCGATTGTGAATGATATATTTGTATTCTGATATTTCTAGCTGGTTATTATGTAAAAAATGCATTTCAATTTTAAAAATTGAGTTAGTTATGAATTACCTTACTAAAATGTGATTTTTATATAATATTTTTAATATCCTTTCTAAATGAACATTTTAATTGCCATATTATAAAATCACAGAAAAGTGAGTGAAAAATAAATTATACCACTGAATGAATATCTTAGCTTTGGAGGTCTAGAACTAGAGCCAGTGTCTGATATTAAAGTGATAACATTTCTTTGGAAGGTAAGTCCAGGGCAGCAATGGCAGGGACGCGTGGAAATTGAGGCAAGAGCACGTGGAAAGTGAGGCAAGAGCAGATGTGAAAGAACGTGTTGGGATGTATTGTAACAATGTGTTGTGTGTATGTGACTCTGTTGTGGCAACTTCATTATAAGGTGAGAGAGACAGCATGGTGGTCATCAGATGCATGCACTTGGACCCCAGTACTTTTCCGGAAAGGCTACAAGGGGAATACCACAGCCAGCATTAGTCCATGGAAGCGAGAGAGGAGGGAGAATGTATCTGTTCAGCTGTCTTCTGTCTTCCATTTTCCATTGGCCAGGGTTTCCCTGAGGCGGAACTACCATCTCTGCTGTTCTGCTTTCCATCATCCAGTCCGTTGGTGGCTGTTATGAAAGACAGACCTCAGGCCCACAGTGTGGTGTTCCATTCAAGGAAGGATGGTAGGATGATCTGGATCAGGCAAGGTGCTGGCCTAGAGAATAAGTGACAGTTAAGGGAATCTGAGGAAGCACATGTTTAAGTCCAATACTGTCTACTCCTTGTACCACTCAGATTTGCTCATGTCTTCCAATCATGGCTGGCTTTATGGGCATATGATTTCCACTGTTGCACAGGGTCTTGTGCTTAGAGGCGCTCATGCTTAGAGGGGCAATCATTAGTCTTCCTGTTGCATGCTGTATTAGCAGCAATGAACCTGGTTTATTTGGGGGATGCTGCCATCTTCTGATTTTATCATTGTTCGCTGGGCACCTCTTCTCAATCTCCTTTGCTGGTTCTTTCTCTTGTCTCTAATCTTCTGCAACTGCTGTTTTGTTTTTGAGACAGAGGGCACTCCTCTGCTGAAGAGGGAATGGTCTTGCACTAATTCCCTAGGAGTTTTCTCTCCCCTCTCCTGTGGATTTGTCAGAGACTTGGACAGAGTCCTGTAATGCCCACTATGCATGCCTCTAGCATGTTTGAATTCTGCTGGATCATCTGGCACAACGGGCAGAGCAGCTTAGGCCAGACCCTATAGCTGTTATGGAACCCTTTTTTGTTCTGGTTTCCACTTGAGACCAATGGCCTTTGGAAACTCCATTAGTGAGTCAGAGCAATATCCTCAAATGAGGAATATGTTGACTCCAAAATCCCAATAGGCCCAAAAAACACTGTGCCTCTTTTTTAGTGAGAAGAATTATGTATCAGGAAACATGCCGTTTACTTTAAAAAGGATGTTTTGACACAAGGACCAGGAGCATGGACCTGTAAAAACACCATCTATGTTATAAGTTCCTGAATCTGCTGAGGTTTATGTCTCTCTTCTTCTGATATTTTACTTCTGTTCAAAGTAATACTATTTTACTATATTTAAGGAACTTGCCACTTCCTGCTTATGAATACCAATTAAAGTAATATTATTAATATATTGAGTTAGCATGATGTTTTGCAAAATGCCAATTAAACTGAAAACAGAAGTGACACAGCTCTGACATAAAACAGTGAAGCAGTGCTTTTGTTCTTACCCCAACAAACAAATTGTTTTGATTTTCTCTCACAAAGGGTGTAGATTTAAAAACATTCGCCAAATCAAAAGCCACATACAAAGTACCAGAAACCACGTTCTGCTCAGTGAAGGTACCACATCCTAGAGAGCATCTGCAAGTGCGATTTAAGTTTATGCTAATGTGCATTCATCTGATAATCCATCTGGTTTTGGCAGAGGCCAGATAGGTTAACTGAATAGGGATATAAAATGTACTACCACCCCCAGTGTTCATTATCAAGAGGACTTAAGCTTCCTTTCAGTCGTTTATCTCTGCTTCTGTGAATTGGCTCAGTCCTGAGAACTGGCTGAGGGTCTTTGATTTGTCATATCAGTGCCTGACCTCAGGACTCAGCTTTTTCAACTCTGTTTTCCTCTTGATTTATAGTTATTTAGCAAAGTATGAAGCCTCTTCAACTATTGGCCTATCAGCCCAATCCAATGAGGCTGTTGCTGTCACCACTTCATTAAATCTGACATTTGTTAAGATCACCAGTGAGTGCGTGTTGCCAATGGTTAGTCTTCATGTTGCATGCTCTATTAGCAACATTGGACATGGTTTACTGGGGGGATGCTGCCCTCTTCTGATTTTATTGTTGTTCACTGGGCACCTCTTCTCAATCTCCTTTGCTAGTTCTTTCTCTTGCCTCTAAACTGAAAATGTCACACTGCCGAAGGTCTCAATTCTTCAATCTTTAATCAATCAGACTTGTTTTGTTGGTGATCTCATGCAGTCTCCTTACTGATAATGTAGCCAAATGGTTCAATAGAGAGGAATAAGGCTGATTATTCATCTATATATTCATATATATCATTTTAATATAGCATTGCAGATATTGGCAGATTGATATGTGGGGAATTTTAATTATATGATGATCTATATATAATTAGATAATGATATAAGTGAAGAAATACATAGATAGAATTATGGTTTACTAACCCATTTTTGATTTCTTGCGTTTTGTACAATGTCTCAGTATCTGTTAGTATCTTATTTCTTAAGTTTTTTTCTCTATGATCAATTACTTATGAGTTAATTTTTGTGTACAGTATAAAATAAGGGTCTAAATTTACGTTTTTTTCCTTCTCTTTTAACTCCCACTTCTTAGGTAAGTTCATCTACTCATGGCCTTACTTATTTTCTGTGTGCTGATGATGCCAACATTTAATCTTTCAGCTGAGATCTCAACGCTGGTCTCCGAATCCTTTCTCTAATAGACTATTTGACATCTTCATTTGGATGCCTAACAGGAACTTGAACTAACATGTCCAAATCAAAATACTGCTCTTCCCCCAATTGTCAGATTTGTTTCTTCTACAGTCTTTCCCTCTTCTGCTAATGACCACTTCAGACTTTCAGATGCTTAGACTAAAAAAAAATGGAGTCAATATTTTCTCTCTTTCAGAACCTATCTTTAAGGCATCAGCAAATTTTGTTGACTCTACCCTCAAAAACCTACAGAATCCAATCCCTTGTCATCACTCTGCCATACTAGTCTAAACTGCTGCATATCTTGCCAGGATATTTGCCATGAGTTTCTAATTATTCTTTCTAGTTCTGCACATCCTTTTATCCTGATGTATTCTCAAGGTGGCAGCCAGAGAGAACCTGTAAAAACGCAAATTTGATCATGCCATTCTTCTCCTCCAGATTTTTCAGTGGCTTTCATCTAATTCAGAGTAAAGGCCAAATCCTTACGAAGTCTTATAATCATTTGAATGATCTGATTTTGTCTGCCTGTGTGCCCTAAAACACCTGGCTCATCCCATGCTAACAACACTGGCCTTTGTGTCACTTCTTGAATATGCCAAGCATTGCCTCAGGGACTTCATACTTGTGTCCCTTCTTCTTGGATTGCTCTTTCTCAGATATCAACACTGAACGTTATCACTCCTCAGATATCATTGAATCATTGAGGCCTCCAATACTACCTTATTTAAAGATAAATCTCATTTCACTTTGCAGTTTTTTTTTCTTTTTTTAGCTTTTATTTTAGATTCTGGGGTACATGTGCAGGTTTGTTATGTAACTAAATTGCATGTCTCAGGCACTTTGTGTACAGATTATTTTGTCACTCGGGTGGGAAGCAGAGTACCTGATAGGTATCTCTTTTATCTTCACTCTCCTCCTTCTCTCTGTTCACATAGACCGTGGTGTCTGTCGTTCCCTTCTTTGTGTCCATCTGTACTCAATGTTTAGCACCCACTTATAAGTGAGAACATGTGGTATTTGTTTTCTGTTTCCATGTTTATTGGCTTAGGATAATGGCCTCCAGCTCCACCCATATTGCTACATCATCTTGTTTTTTTCTAATGACTGCATAGTATTCCATGGTGTGTATGTACCATATTTTCTTTATCCAGTCTACTATTTATGGGCAGTTAGGTTTATTCCATGTCTTTGCTATTATGAATAGTTCTGTCATGAATATTTTCATGCATGTGTCTTTATGGTAGAACAATTTATATTTCTCTGGATATATATCCAATAATGGAATTGCTGGTTTGAATGGTAATTCTGTGTTAAGTTCTTTGGAAAATTGCCATGCTGATTTCCACAATGGCTGGACTAATTTACCTCCCCACCAGCAGTGTGAAAGCATTCCCTTTCACCACAATCTTGCCAGAATCTGTTGTTTTTTGGGGGTTTTAGTAATAGCTATTCTGACTGGTATGAGATAGTATCTCATTGTGGTTTTGAATCACATTTCTTTAATGATTAGTTATATTGAGCATTTTTTCATATGTTTGTTGGCTGAGTGTATGTCTTCACTTGAAAATTGTTCATGTCCTTTATCAAATTTTTAATGGTGGTATTTGTTTTTTGCTTGTAAATGTAAATTCCTTATATGTTCCGGATATTACGCCTTTGTCATTTGCATAGTTTACGAAATATTTTCTCCCATTCTGCAGGTTGTCTGTTTACTCTGTTGATAGTTTCTTTTCTTGTGCAGAAGCTCTTCAGTTTAATGAGGTTCCACTTTTCAATTTTTGTTTCTGTTGCAATTGATTTTGGTGTCTTTGCCATGAAATCTTTGCCAGGTCCTATGCAGGAATGGTGTTTACTAGGTTATTTTTCCGTTTTTTAAAAAAATAGTTTTAGGTTTTACATTTTATTATTTAACCCAGCTTGCATTGAGTTTTGTGTATGTATAAGAAAGGTGTCCAGTTTCCATCTTCTGCACATGGCTATCCAGTTATCCCAGCACCATTTATAGAGCAGGGAGTCTCTCCTCATGGCTTGTTTTTGTTAACTTTGTTGAAGATTAGATGGTTGTAGGTGGGTGGCATTATTTCTCGGGTCTCTATTCTGTTCCCTTGGTCTACGTGCCTGTTTTTGTACCACTACCATGCTGTTTTAGTCTCTGTATCCTTGTAGTATGGTTCAGTCAGGTAATGTTATACTTCCTGCTTTGTTCTTTTTGTTTGGTATTGCCTTGGCTATTTGGGCTTTTTTTTTTTCATTCCCAGTGAATTTTAAAATAGTTTGTTTCTAATTTTGTGAAGAATATCAATGATAATTTGACAGGAATAGCATTGAATCTATAAATTGGTTTGGGCAGTATGGGCATTTAAACAATATTGATTCTTCCCATCCATGCACCTGGAACGTTTTCCCGTTTGTCCATGTCTTATTGGATTTAATTGAACAGTCTCTTGTAATACTCTTTGTAGAGATATTTCACCTCCCTGGTCAGCTGTATTCCTATGTATTTTATTTTTTGGGACTATTGTGAAAGGGATTGCCTTCTTGATTTGTCTTTGCTTGAATTTTGTTGCTATAGGAATGCTACTAATTTTTGTACATTGATTTTGTATCCTGGGAATTTGCTGAGTTTGTTTATCAGACCAAGGAGATTTTGGCCAGAAACTGTGGGGATTTCTAGGTATAAAGTCACATTATCTGCGAACAGGGATAATTTGACTTCTTCTCTTCTATTGGGATGCCTTTTATTTATTTCTCTTCCTGATTGCTTTGACCAGGACTTCCAGTACTGTTGAATAAGAGTGGTGAGAGAGGACACCCTTGTCTTGTTCCTGTTTTCAAGGGGTAATGCTTCCAGTTTTGCCCATTTAGTATGATATTGGCTGTGGGTTTGTCATGGGTGGCTCTTATTATTGTGAAGTATATATCTTCAATGTCTAGTTTGTTGAGAGTTTTTAATATGAAGAGACATTGAATTTTATTGAAAGCCTTTTCTGCATCTATTGAGATAGTAATGTGGTTTTTGTTAGTTTCACTTATGTGATGAATCACATATATTGATTTACATGTGTTTAACCAAACTTGTATCCCAGTGATAAAGCCTGCTTGATTATGGTGGATTAGCTTTTTGATGTGCTGCTGGATTCAACTTGCTGGCATTTTGTGGAGTGTTTTTTTTAAATCTATGTTTATTGAGGTTGTTTTCTTTTATTGTTGTGTCTCTGCCTGGTTTTGGTATCAGGGTGATATTAGCCTTGTAGAATGAGTTAGCGTGGAGTTTCTTTTCCTCAGTTTTTTAGAGTAGGTTTAGTGTGAATAGTACCAGTTCTTTATACACATGGTGGAATTCTGCTGAGAATCTATCAGGTCCTAGGCTTTTTTTGTTTGTTTGTCTGGTAGGCTTTTTATTACTCTTTCAATTTGGAACTTGTTATTGGTTTGCTCAGGGATTCAATTTCTTACTGATTCAGTCTTGAAAGGTTGTACATATCCAGCAGTTTATCCATTTCTTCTAGGTTTTCTAGCTTGTGGGCATAGAGGTGTTGACAGTAGTTTGGGAGGATTGTTTGTATTTCAGTGGGGTCAGTGGTAATATCCACTTGGTCATTTTTGATTGGGTTTATTTGGATCTTCTCTCTTTTTTTTCTTTATTAGTCTGGTTAGGGGTCTATCATATTAATTTTTTAAAAACATCAAATCCTGGATTCACTGACCTTTTGTATGTTTTTTTTAATCACAATTTCCTTCAGTTCAGCTCTGATTTTGGTTATTTATTGTCTTTTGCTAGCTTTGGCATTGGTTTGCTCTTGTTTGTTTAGTTTCTCTTGTGAAGTTATGTTATTAATTTGAGATCATTCTAACTTTTTGATGTGAGTGTTTATTGCTACGAACTTTCCTCTTAACACTGCCTTATCCATATCCCAGAGATTCTGGTATGTTGTATCTTTGTTCTCATTATGTTCAAAAAATTTCTTGATTTCTGCCTTAATTTCAATATGTACCCAAAAGTCATTCAGGAGAGGGTTGTTTAATTTCTATGTAATTATATGGTTTTAAGGTATTTTCTTAGTATTTATTTATATTTTTATTGTGCTGTGGTCCAAGAATGTGGTTGGTATGGTTTTCTTTTTTTCATATTTGCTAGGAATTGTTTTATGTTAGGTTGTGTGGCTGATTTTAGATTATATGCCATGTGCAGATGAGAAGAATGTGTATTCTGTTGTTTTGGGGTGAACTGTTTTGTGGATGTCTATTAGGTTCATTTGGTTAAGTGTCTATTTCAGGTCCTGAATAACTTTGTTAGTTTTCTGCCTTGATGTTCTGTCTAGTGCTGTTGGTGGGGTGTTGAAATCTCTTGCTATTATTGTGTGATTTTCTAAATCTTTTAATAGGTCTCTGAGAACTTGCTTTCTGAATCTGGGTGTTCTTTTGTCAGGTGCATATACATTTAGAATAGTAATGTCTTCCTGGTGAATTGAGCCTTTTTCAATTATGCAATGCCCTTCTGTTTCTTCTTGATCTTTGCTGGTTAAAGACAGTTTTGTATGAAAGTAGATTATCAAGGTCAGGTGCCATGGCTCAGACTTGTAATACCAGCACTTCAGGAGGCTGAGGTGGGTGGATCACTTGACCCCAGGAGTTTGAGACCAGCCTGAGCAACATGGCAAAATCCTGTCTCTATCAAGAAAAAAACAAATACAAAAATTAGCCAGTCATGGTGGTGCACACATGTGGTCCCAGGTACTTGCAAGGCTGAGTTGGGAGGATTTCTTGAGACCAGGAGGTAGAGGTTGTGGTAGGCTGAGATTGCGCCACTGCACTATGGCCTGGGCAACAGAGTGAGACCCTGACTCAAAACAAACAAACAAACAAAAAGAAGTTAGAATAGCAACCCTGCTTCTATTTTCCATTTGCTTGGTAGATTTTTCTCCATCTTTTAAATTTGAGCTTATGGGTATCACTGCATGTAAGTGAGTCTCTTGAAGACACTATACCATTGCGTCTTGCTTCTTTATCCAAATTGCCTCTATGTGCCTTTTAGTTGGGGTGTTTAACCTGTTTACATTCGAGGTTAGTATTGATATGTGGGAATTTGATCCTTTCATTATGTTGTTAGCTGCTTATCATGCAGACTGGTTTCTGTGGTTACTTTATAGTATACTGGTCTATGGCCTTAAGTGTGATTTTGTTATGGCTGATAATGATCTTTCTTTTCTATGATTAGCAATCCATTCAGGACCTCTTGTGAGGTGGGTCTGGTGGTAATCAAATCCCTTAGCATTTGTTTGTCTGAAAAAGATCCTATTTCTCCTTCACTTATGAAGTTTAGTTTGGCTGGATATGAAATTCTTGGTCGGACATTCTTTTTCAAAAAATTTCTGAATATGAGCCCCCATCTCTTCCTGGTTGTAGAGTTTCTGCTAACAGGTCCACTGTTAGCTCAATGCTGTTCCCTTTGTAGGTGACCTGCCCTTTCTCTCTAGATGCCTATGGCACTTTTTCTTTCATTTTCGCCTTGGAGAATCTGATGACTATGTGTCTTGGGTATATTCTTCTTGTGTAGTATTTCGTAGGGGTTCTCTGCATTTCCTGAATTTGAATGCTGGCCTCTCTAACAAGGTTGAGGAAATTTTTATGGACTATATCCTGAAATAGGTTTTCCAAGTTGTTTGCCTTCTATTCCTGTATTTCATGGATGCCAATGAGTCATATATTTAGTCTGTTAACAAAATATTATATTTCTTGGAGGTTTTGTGCATTCTTCTTCATTATTTTTCTTTATTTTTGCCTGACTGAGTAATTTCAGAGGACTACTCTTGAGCTCTGAGATTCTTTCCCCAGCTTTGTTGATTCTGTTGTTAACACTTGCATTAGTATTCCAAAATTCGTGAAGTGATGTTTTCAGCTCTATCAGATCAGTTGGATTTTTTCTTAAAATGACCATTTTGTTTGTGTCTTCTGTATCATTTTATGGCGTTCCTCAGAATCTTTGGATTGTGTTTTGACTTTCTCCTGAATTTCATTGATCTTTGTTCCTATCCATGGTCTGAATCATATTTCTGCCTTTTCAGCATGGGAGGGAACTAGCGTGGTCATTTGGAGGTAAGAAGATACTCTGGCTTTTTGAGTTGCCACAGTTATTGTGCTGATTCTTTCTCATCTCTGTGGGCTGATATTCTTCAGTCTTCGAAGTTGCCATTCTTTGGATTTTTTTTTTTCTGTTTTTATCTTCTTTGACACACTTTGGGGTTTCACTGTGGATTCCATCAAATGAGTTTGTTTCTGGTAGATTTTAGGGGGGAAAAGATTTCTAACTCTAAGTCTGGGGTCTAGTTTTGGACACCGGACTTTGTTCTCTGGCACCTCAACATTGGGAATCTGCTGTGCTGGAAGGGACATTGTGTTCCTGAATTGCTGGCCACAACACTCTGAAGGATGGTACCAGCCAAAGCTCTTCATTGAATAGTGACAGTGTAACGCAAGCTTGTTAACACATGCCAGCAGCAGCAGTGTGGCAGGGTATAGGCTCTTGGACCGGGATGGGGTGCAGGCTGGCCCAAGGCTGCCAGCTTCCATGCGGGCATTGGCAGTAGCCTAAATTCATCTTTATGCATGTGGATATTTAATTTTCCCAGAATCATTTGTTGAGAAAAATGATTAATTCCTATTGAATTGCAATTGTATGATTTTAAAAATCAGCTGACCATGAATGTCATTACTAATTTCTGGACAGTCAATTGTGTTTCATTGTTCTTTTTGTCTCTCATAGTGCAATTACCACAGTGTCTTGATTTAGTCCAGTAAACTTGCAGTAAACTTTGAAATGAGAAACTAATCCTCCAACTTTGTATTTAAAAAAAAATTATTTTATTGGCCTAATCACTTGGCATTTCCAGGCATATTTTTGGAGTAGTTTTACATTTTCTGCAGAAAAAGCTTTCTGTGACGTGATGAGGGTTGCATTATAAATTGCTCTTCACACGTAAAGACTCGCCTTGTGCTGGATTTCATTTCAGGTGGTCCTTATTGCTTGCAAGCTCTTTGATGAATACAAACATAATTTTGGCCCCTTTATTTATCTTATGCTAGTTGTTGCAGAAGGACATCTTGCTTTCTTGAACCTATTACATCTATTCAAAAGTGGAAGTTTTCACAGGTAACCTCTCTGTATCAAGTAACACAAGATCAAATAAAACACGAGCAATCCTTGTTTCGTGCCTGAACCAGACAGGTGATATTGAAATCAGTTATACAAATGTGTACTAACTCTTCATAAAGACTATCCAAAGAGGGTATTATTATCATCTGCATTTAATAGATAGCTATCCTAAGGCTGTTGTAAAATAGATTCTCGGATCATACCTATATGAAGCAGAGAACTGGATTTCCTTTCCTGGCAGTCTGACTCCAAGATCCTTTCTTAGAAACAATTATACTGTAAAAACTGAGAATGAATAAAACCCAACATTGGAGACTGATTTTAACATCTGTTAATCTTAAACCATTAAATAATAAAAATAAGTTAAAATGAAAGAAAAATATCCAAATATTCATATACAGAGAAGTCAATATTCTTCAATCGAAAACACATTTTTTAAGTGCTCAAGGAATATTTACAAAAATGCTGAATATTTAATTAAATAATTCATATTTGTATATCAAATTGACTTAAGAGAATGACTTCCTTAAAAGCCTAAGGATGCGAGATCAGTTCGATAAATATTGAAAATGGGCTGAAAATTATGAGTAGGAAAATAGGGCCATTTCAACCTGCATGTGACATCCCTAAAATTTATTTTCCATTTTGGAAACTGTAGGACAAAAACTATTCCCATTCATGTGGGGTATATGTATATGTGTATGGGTGTATATGTCTTCCCAAGAAAATCTTGAATGCTTTTGATAGGAAAAATTTAGATTCTGTTTACATGTATCTGGTATTGAGAAAAATAAATTAACAGCAGTCATGATACAAGTTATGATCAAGCTTCCTTCAGAAATTTAGACATCCAATATATGATCTATGTATTGGGTTTAAAAATTTCCATAGCAAGTGATGTTGCTGAACACAAATTATGACTACACGAGGAAAATATTGCAAAACAGTGAAAGAGAATATGTCTTCATTTGCATGCTTGCAAATGAGAAATCAGCTTTTACTTCCAAATTATTATGAAAAAAGCCTATAGCAAGAAGAGACGTTGTTTAAATAGTAGGTAATTTGAGCCGTTTTGAAAATTACATTTTTTCCATAAAGGCAGCATTGAACTCATCCATTAGTATGCCCTAGCGCTTTCCTATTTGACATTGGTCCCAGAATTGAATTTAGAAGAACCAAGAATTTTACTGCACATTCAGAAATCAGGATCGCAGAGAGTTTAAGATCAAGACCTTAAAGGGGATCATGACCAGTGATACTGGGCTTGCCCTTTTTTAATGTGTGTTTGTTCAGACATGGGAAGTTTACTACCAATCTTTTTTTTTTCCAAACTAGTAATGATAGAATTTGTATTTTCCTATGATGCCTATATTAAATGTATAATCATTTTAATATTTTAACACTTTTTTAATGAGTTCTTTCAAGGGTTGTTAAACAATCTAAACAATCTAATTTTCCCTTACAATATGCTGATAGCTAATCATATTTTCTCAAAGTCATTTGACATAATGTTTGATTGAAGAAAATATCTCTGGTATGACTCTACTTGCTGATAACAAAAGAGAATTTGAAACTTCAAGAAAAAAGATTAGAAAAGTTAACAACATAATACAAATAAGTATATTAAATATATAATTTATTCTTAAGAAATGTATATGAAATCAGAGTCGTAGAATGAAAAAAGAGTAATATGTAATTTTTAAACTACAGTTACATTTCAAATGTGAATTTAAATTGTAAAATGTTAAGTTTAATAATATTTTATATAAATATAAAAGTGCAAAAATTATTCTTTGATGTTTCTAATTTTGAAAAGGGCATGAGGCACTGACAATTTTCAGACACTTCTCCTAGGATTATCAATTGAAAGAATTCCTTTGGCTGAGTATGACATAATCTGATTATGATGGAGGATCACCTCATAAGACCCAATATTTGTACTCCTACTGGAATACATATGAAAAAAGTGTGTATCACTGTGTTTTAATAGCTCAAGTTGAGAAGTCTCCCAAATGTCCATCAGTGATAAAATGATAAATAAATTATGGCATACTTATGCGGTAGAGTACTATACAGCAATT
The DNA here is from genome assembly GCF_000001405.40 of Homo sapiens. NCBI lineage: Eukaryota > Metazoa > Chordata > Mammalia > Primates > Hominidae > Homo > Homo sapiens. The sequence continues at coordinate 148,804 of NW_003571050.1, read as the reverse complement.
AAAAAGCAAACCAGAGTGACATGTTTACAAAGAATTTATATAACAAAGAAAATGAACAAATTTGAGCTAAATAGCTAATACAGATGTGAGAGGAATTATCAATATTGAAAAAATATTCAATATAATTCAATTTATATGAAGTTTGCAAAAATATATTTTAATACATTGTAATTTATTACATTGGTGGCAAAACTCTAAAACGAAACATATAAGTGATTATCATAACAACTGGGATATGTGGGAGGAAGAAAACTAAAGAGAAACAATATCAACAAGAAGGTATATATGGGGAGTGTCTGGATTTTTGGCAAATTTTATTTTTTGGCCAAGATGTAGTAAACATGGGAGATAAACTTATAATTTTTTCCCTAACTGTGTATTTAAGTTTTGTTACTTTTCATAACTATGTTATGTTCGACAATAGTAAAAATATTTAAAAATCAGAAAATAAAGTAAAATAATAAAAAATTAAGCCAAAACTACATATGTGCATAGATACAATGGTATTATAATTATCATGTTTTTCTTAACAAAGAAGCATAGTGCATTATGGTAGTAAGAAATACAAGTTAAAATTATAAGCTTTTCTTTAAATTAATTTTTAAAAGAAGGTATAATCTAGAAATGTAAATTTAAATTCTTAATGCTAATCTTGGACAAAGCCTCCAGGAGCAACTGAAAACCTCTCTGCCACTGGCCTCTGCAGTAGAACTGCCCTTGCCACTCTTGGACTAATGAAGGAGCAAAGATCCTAAGTGCCTTATCCATACCTCCAACAAGATGCAGTCAACCCAAGGAGAGAAACCCAGTTAGACTTCCATGGGTCCCACAAATGCACAAACCCTCCATCTTGGGCTGACTGCACTGAGTGTTTGCTGACCTGCATCTCTCTGGGATGGAACCCCCAGAGGTTGACTCTTGGCCACAACCACTACTAAGATCTCTTCAGTGCTACCTCTAAACTGGGAAAGGAATATAAACACTGAGATTCCACCAGGGCTGCAGTTGGCAGCTCAGGAATGCCAAGTTTTGAACTGTAGCCAGGACTGAAGGGCACAAGGAACCTACATCTTCAGAACACTGAGAGGGAACATGGCTGCAACTGTGAGGAAACATAGGGGAAACATATAATTGAGCAACAGTCTATCAACTGACCAATAAGCATAAGTGTCACCTGCTGGATTACACCCCAAAACTTCAACACCAAAAATGCCTCACTAACATAACCCCCTTTGAAGCCAGAGACACAAAGTCAGCTTCAAATAAATACCCTACACAAAGGCTCTCCCTGGTGAAAACATCCAGAAAGGAAGTCTATTTACTGTGCCTAATATACACTGCAGTTAAAGAAACACCCACATACAGAGATGAGAAAGAACAAATGCAATAACTCAAATGGCCAGAATATCATATTTCCTCCAAAAGACTACAGCAGTTTTCCAACAAGAGTTCTTAACAAGGTTGAACTGGCTAGAATGACAGAATACAGTATATGGCAGAAACAAAGATTATTGAGATTTGGGAGGAAGACAAAACCCAATCCAAGGAAAATAAGAATCACAATAATGTGATACAGGAGCTGAAGGATGAAATAACCAGTATTAGAAAGAATTTAATGGGTCTGACAGAGCTGAATAACGCAATACAAGAATCTCACAATGCAATCACAAGGATTATCAGCAGAATATACTAGTCTGAGGGAAGAGTTTCAGAACTTGAAGACTGGTTTTCTGAAATAATACAGTCAGACAAAAATAAAGAAAAAGCATAAAAAGAAATGAACAAAACCCCTGAGAAGTATGGGATTATAAAAAGAGGTTAAATCTGTAAATCACTGGAATCCCTGAAAGGGAGAGCCAGAAAGCAAACAACTTGGAAAGTATATTTCAGAATATCATTCATGAACTCTTTCCCAACCTTGCTAGAGAGGCCAACAGACATATTCAGGAAATACAGAGAACTCATGCAAGATTCTACACAAGATCATCTCCAAGATATATAATCATCAGATTTCCCAAGATTGAAATAAAAGAAAGAATGTTAAAGGCAGCCAGAGAGAAAGGGCAGGTCACGTACAAAGGGATTTCTATCACGGTAACAGCAGATCTGTCAGCTGAGTTCTTACAAATTAGAAGAGATTGGAGGCCTATATTCAACATTCTTAAAGAAAAAAATCTTCAGCCAAGAATTTCATATCCAACCAAATTAAGCTTTTTAAGTGAAGGAGAAGGAAGATTTTTTTCAGGTAAGCAAATGTTGAGGGAATTTATTATCACCAGAACTGCCTTACAAGAGATCTTGAAAGCGGCACTTAGTATAGAAAAGAACACCACTACCAGCTAATAAAAAAAACCCTGAAACACAGAGACCAGTGTCACTGTAAAGCAACAACACAAACAAGACAACATAATAACAAGCTAACAGCACAATGACAGGATCAAATCCACACATATCAATATTAATCTTGAATGTAAATGGGCTAAATGACACAATTAAATGGCACAGAATGGCAAGCAGGATAAAAAAGCAAGACCCAATGGTATTCTGTCTTCAAGAGACCCGTCTCAAATTTAATGACACTCATAGGCTCAAAATAAATAAATGGAGAAAAATCTACCAAGCAAATGGAAAACAGAAAAAAGGGGGGTTGCAATCCTAATTTCAGACAAAACAAGTTTCAAACAAATGAAAGTTTTTTAAAAAAAAGACAAGCAAGGATATAACATAATGGTAAAGTATTCAATTTAACAAGAAGACCTAACAATCCCAAATAGATATGCACCCAATACAGGAATGTCTGGATTCATGAGGCAAGTTCTTAGAGACCTACAAATAGACATACACTCCCACCCAATAATAGTGAGTGACATCAACACTCCACTGACAGTATTAGATCATACAGGCAGAAAATTAATGAAGATATTTAGGACCTAAACTTAGCATTGGACCAAATGGATCTGGTAGACCTTTACAGAAGTGTCCATCCCCAAATAAGAGAATATACATTCTTTTCATAGCCACATGGCACATACTCTATAATCAACCACATAATTGGATATAAAACAATCCTCAACAAATGTAAAATAACCAAAATCATACCAAACACACTCTCAGGCCACAGTGCAATAAAAATAAAAGTCAACACAATGAAAATTATTAAAGCATACAATTACATGGAAATTAAACATCATGCTCCTGGATGACTTTTAGATAAATTTAAGTCTGAAATCAAGAAGTTCTATAAAAATAATAAGAACAAAGATACAACAAACCAGAATCTCTGAGACACAACTAAGGCAGTAGTAAGAGGGAAATTCATAGCACTAAATGCCCACATCAAAAAGTTTGTAAGGCCTCAAATTAACAATCTAAATTCAAAATTGAAAGAATTAGAGAAAAAAGAACAAATCAACCCCGAAGCTAGCAGAAGATAAGGAATAACACAAATCAGAGCTGAACTGAAGGAAATTAAGACACAAAAAACCATTCAAAAGATCAATGAATTTGGGAGTTGGAATTAAAAATAATTATAAAATAGGCCACTAGGTAGACTAATTAAGAAGAAAAGAGAGAAGATCCAAATAAACACAATTAGAAATGATTTAAAGGAATGTTATTACTTACCCTACAGAAATGGAAACAGCCATCAGAACCACTGTAAACACCTCTGTGCAGACAAACTAGAAAACCTAGAAGAGATAGATAAATTCCTGGACACATACACCCTCCCTGCTGCTGGAAGTCAGAGACCCCAAACGGAGGGACCAGCTGAAGCCATGGCAGAAGAACATAAATTGTGAAGATTTCATGGACATTTATTAGTTCCCCAAATTAATACTTTTATAATTTCTTATGCCTGTCTTTACTGCAATCTCTGAACATAAATTGTGAAGATTTCATGGACACTTATCACTTCCCCAATCAATACCTTTGTGATTTCCTATGCCTGTCTTTACGTTAATCTCTTAATCCCATCATCTTCATAAGCTGAGGAGGATGTATGTTGCCTCAGGACCCTGTGATGATTGCATTAACTGCACAAATTGTAGAGCCTGTGTGTTTGAACAATATGAAATCTGGGCACCTTGAAAAAAGAACAGGATAACAGCAATGTTTAGGGAAAAAGGGAGATAACCTTAACCTCTGACTGCTGGTTAGCTAGGTGGAACAGAGCCATATTTCTCTTCTTTCAAAAGCAAATGGAGAAATATCACTGAATTCTTTTTCTCAGCAAGGAACATCCCTGAGAAAGAGAATGTGTCCCTGAGGGGAGGCCTCTGAAATGGCCGCTTTGGGGACGGCTGTCTTTTACAGTCTTAGCTGAGGGATGAAATAAGCTCTGGTCTCCCGTAGCACTCCCAGGCTTATTAGGATGAGGAAATTCCTGCCTAATAAATTTTGGTCAAACCGGTTGTCTGCTCTCAAACCCTGTCTCCTGATAAGATGTTATCCATGACAATTCATGCCCGAAACTTCATTAGCAATTTTAATTTTGCCCCGGTCTTGTGGTCCTGTGATCTCGCCCTGCCTCCATTTGCCTTTTGATATTTTATTACCTAGTGAAGCATGTGATCTCTGTGACCCACACCCTATTTGTACACTCCCTCCCCTTTTGAAAATCACTAATAAGAACTTGCTGGTTTTATGGCTTAGGGGGCATCACTGAACCTGCCAACATGTGATGTCTCCCCCAGACACCAGCTTTAAAATTTCTCTCTTTTGTACTCTGTCTTTTTATTTCTCAGACTGGCTGACACTTAGGGAAAATAGAAAAGAACCTAAGTGAAATATCGGGGGTGAATTTCACCCGATACTCCCAAGACTGAACCAGGAAGAAATTTGTTCCCTGCACAGACCAATAATGAACTCCAAAATTGAATCAGTAATAAATAGCCTATGAACCCAAAAAAGCCCAAGACCTGCTGGATTCACAGCCAAATTCTACCAGGTGTACAAAGAAGAGCTGTTACCATTTTTACAGAAACTAATCCAAAAAGTTTAGGAGGACTTCTCTTTAATTCATTGTATGAGGCCAGCATCATCTTGATACCAAAACCTGGCAGAGACACAACAGCAACAGAAAATTACAGACCAAAATCCTTGATGGACATCGATGCAAAAATCCTCAACAAAACCTTTGCAAACTGAATCCACAAGCCCATCAAAAAGCTAATCCACCATGATCAAATAGGCCTCATCCTGGCATGCAAAGTTAGTTCAACATACAAAAATCAATAAATATGATTCATCACATAAACAGAACTAAAGACAAAAACCACATGACTGTCTCAATAAATGCAGAAAAGGCTTTTGATAAAAATTCAACATCCCTTCATGTTAAACTATTTCAAAAAATTAGATATTGAAGGAACATACTAAAAATAATAAGAGCCATCTATGATAAACCCACACCCAACATCATACTGAATGGGCAAAAGCTGGAAGCATTCCTCTTGAAAACCAGCAACAGGAAACGATTCCCTCTGTCACCATTTCTTTTCAACATAGTATTGGAAGTCCTGGCCAGAGCAATCAGGTAAGAGAAAGAAATAAAGGACGCCCAAAAAACCATAGAGTATGTCAAACTGTTTGCAGTTGACATATTCTCTATCTACAAAACCCCATAGTCTTGGCTCAAAAGCTCCTTCATCTGATAAACAACTTCAGAAAAGTTGCAGGATACAAAATCAATGTACAAAAATCACTTGTATTCCTATAAACCAACAACAATCAAATCAGGAAGGCAATCCCATTCACAATTGCCACACACACAAAAAATACCTAGGAATACAGCAAACGAGGGAAGTGAAAAATTTACACAATAAGAATTATAAAAAAACTTCCCAAAAAGATCAGAGAAGACACAAACAAATGGGAAAACATCCCATGTTCATGGATACAAAGAATCAATTATTAAAATGGCTGTACTGCCCAAAGGAATGTACAGATTCAATGTTATTCCTATCAAACTACCAATGAGATTCTTCACAGAACTGGAAAAATTTATTTTACAATTTATATGGAACCAAAAAAGAGCCCTAATAGTTAAAGTAATACTAAGTGAAAACAACAGAGCTAACAAAGCTAGAGGAATCACATTACCCAACTTCAAACTATGTTACAGAGCTACAGTGACCAATATAGCATGGTACTGGCATAAAAACAGGTACATACACCAATGGAACAGAATAGAGATCCCAGAAATAAGGCCACACATTTATGACTATCTAATCTTTGACAAAACTGACAAAAACAAGCTATGGGAACAAGACTTCGTATTTAATAAATAGCACTGGGATAACTGGCTAGCTATCTGCAGAAGATCAAATCTGAAATTCTTCCCTGTACCATATAAAAAAATCAAGTCAAAATGGATTAAAGACCTAAATGTAAAAAGAAACCTGTAAAAGCCCTGGAAGACAACCTAGGCAATACCATCCTGGACCTAGGAATGAGCAAAGATTTCATGGCAAAGACATCAAAAGCAATCAAACAAAAACAAAAATTGACAAATGGGATCCTATTAAACTTAAGAGCCCCTGCACAAGAAAAGAAAATATCAACAGAGTAAATCGACAACCTACAGAATGAAAGAAAATATTTGCAAACAATGCATCTGACAAAGGCCTTATATCCAACATCTATAAGGAACTTGAATTTACAAGAGAAAAACAACCACATTAAAAAGTGGGCAAAAGACCTGAACAGACACTTCTCAAAAGAAGACGTACATGTGACCAAGAAGCATGTGAATAAAAACTTAACATCACTGATCATTAGAGAAATCCAAATCAAAACCACAATGAGGTACCATCTCACACCAGTCAGAATGGCTATTACTAAAATGTGAAAAACAATCAGCTCCATCATGGTGGATGGGAGGCAGGACTAAATTGCAGTTCTGACTTGGAAAGACAGAGGAGCTTGTGAAGGCTTGCATCATGAATTTTAGCTCCAGAAAGACTGCAGAAAAAAATCAGGAAATGCGAGAGGACCCACAGGTTTTCTGAAGAAAGTGGGCTGCTCCTGCAGAACCTGGGAGACACCCCAAATACTGTGAAGGCCCAAATTGCAGAAGTGGGAAAGGGAGATCCTCTGCCCCCAAACACAACCTCCCCTGGGAAAACTGAAGGTCTATTTTATGGGAAAAGATTACAACCTTACCTGGAGCTGAGTTAATTTAGAGAGCTGAGCAAAATACAGGAATAGAGGGAGCAGTAGAAAAGGCCCTGTGAGCTCGCTGGGTCCTCAAGCAGGCTATTCCTGTGTGGCATCACAAAGATCCTTTGGGAGGGTGACAAGAGGGAAATGCCACAGAGAGAAGGAAATCACCAGCTGAATTTTGGAACAATTTGAAGTCATCAAGAAGCCTCCTGGCCAGAACTGAGGGAAGAGTTCAAATCCATTGTGCAGACTAAATAGGCAGGGGAAGAACTAAAGTCCTACTTTCTTTCACAGCTAGGAGGTGGGTAGCCTGTGGCAAGTTCTCAGCCCTGCTTGCCGACTGTCTGGAAACAGACAGGGTGCCATTGGGGAGGCATGGTGGGAGTGAGACCAGCCCTTTGGATTGCATGGGAGCTGGGTCAGGCCTGTGACTGCCAGCGTTCTCTCACTTCCACGACAACCTGCATGACTCAGCAGAGGCAGCTTCCTTCTAGGTGCATAACTCCATTAACCTGGAAACCTCAGCCCCATCCCCCCTAGCAGCCACAGCAGGAGAGAGTGAGTCTGAGCTCAGACATGCTTAGCTCTGCCCCACCTGATGGTACTTCCCTACCCACCCTGGTATTCTGAGCACAAAGGGCATAAACTCTTGAGAGTTCTAGTGACTTACCCACTGCCGGTGCCTCTTCATACTATCACAGCTGATGCTCTCTAGAAAGAACTACCTCCTGGTAGGAGGCCAACCACACAAAAATAGAGCATTAAACTCCCAAAGCTAAGAACCCTCACAGAGTCCATTTCACCCCCCTGCCACCTCCACCAGAACAGGTGCTGGTATCCACAGTTGAGAGACCAACAGATGGTTTACATCACAGGACTCTGTGCAGACAACCCCAATATCAGCCTGGAGCCTGGTGGACTTTCTTGGTGACTAGATCCAGAAGAGAGATAACAATTACTACAGCTCAGCTGTCAGGAAGCCACATCCATAGGAAAAAAGGGAGAATACTACATCAAAGAAACACCCTCTGGAACAAAAAAGTCTAAACAACAGCCTTCAGCCCTAGATCTTTTCTCTGATAGAGCCTACCCAAATGAGGAGGAGCCAGAAAACCAACTCTGGTAATATGACAAAACAAGGCTCTTTAACACTCCCCAAACATCACACTAGCTCACCAGCAATGGATCCAAACCAAGAAGAAATCCCTGATTTACCTGAAAAAAAATTCAGGAGGTTAGTTATTAAGCTAATCAGAAAGGCACCAGAGAAAAGTGAAGCCCAATGCAAGGAAATCCAAAAATATGATACAAGAAGTGAAGGGAGAAATATTCAAATAAATTTTAATAATAAATAATAAATTTTAATAATAAATAAATAATAAATTTTAATAATAAATAAATTCAAACATTTGATACAGTTAGTACATAAATTTTGATGCATAAAAAAGTTAAAATGAAACACACTAATCTGTTCTGTATACACCTAAATGTAACTTTGACACTGAAATGGATTAAGACACTGCTCTTCTCTGAGGAACTGAGTTTTTATTCTAATTTCTGGATGTAGTGTGTGGGAATTATTATTTTTGCTGCTCTTTTTCTGAAAAAGATTGCCTTTCCCTAAGAGCTGTTGTTCCAATGAAAACCTAGTGTTTTCAACCCAGCATGAATGATGCAAGTGCTGAGGTCCTTTGGGCGAGACCCTCTGGGGTTATTGTAGCTCTCACTGGAGACGTGAGCTCTGCTCTCTTTTCAAAGTATCCATGAAGTCTCAACAGAACCCACCACACAACCCCCCACCCACCATGGTAGTTTGTCTTTCTCTTTGTCTTCTTTCCCAACCTCATCTTTATTGCCTGGATATAGCGAGGCCAGGGTAACCTTCTTGTCTCTATGTGGATAGTACGTTTGTACTTCTAGCCTTGGGATTTTTCCTTAATATTTGTCCATGCTAGCTGAGTTTGCCTTTTCAATAGCTCTCTTGACTAAATATACGGTAATTTCCAAGATATTTTGGTTTTATTTTATTTTATTTTTGCTTAGCTTTGCTTCAGGGGACTGAAGGTGAGGGATCAGTTCTTCATAGTGGAACACCTTACATCTTTCTCTGCCATCTTTGACGTTTATGAGGCATATTTTTCTACTTTGTTTGGTAGCTGTTGCTGAATTTGTTTCATTGGTGCTTTGCTCACTTTACTTACTTTTTTAGCTATTGAAGAAGAATGACTGTATCATGCTGCTGATTTCCCCGTCTTGGCTAGACAGTATGTCATCCTTTATCTACATTGGTCCCTGTAGTGAGGATCATGGAGTAGATGTTGCTGGGAGAGTGAGTATATGTGAAAAAAATGTGAAGGTATTTGGTGCTGATGAAGCAATATGCCCTACTGGGCAGGGGAGAGGCACAGAATAAGAATTCTTGCCATGTGGATGAACTCATTCAAACACAATGACTGCTTTATGAGACAATAGATAGATTTCTACCTCTTCTCACATGTACAGAGAAAATATTTCCAAAGTCTCCGGAATATTTACATGTATTACTATTTAATATAAACTTGCAAGTCTTTTTAAATGTGTTTAAAACTATCACAGTACTAAACATGAACTAGATGCATAATAAATGCTGAAAGTAAAAAGCCTGAATTATTTAAGTGAAAAGAGAAAAAGATTTAGATCCCAAATAAATGTATGCGTTTGTGTGTTTGTGTGTGTGCGCGCATGTTTGCTGGGCATGTACTTGTAAAAAGTAAAATAATAGAAAAGTATTATTCTTGGTACCCAGCATTCTAGGAATAATGTCTTCCACAAGATTATTAGAAAACTCTGCTACTTTGTAGGAGGAGCTTTGGATAACTATGAATAAGTCCCTTTACAGACTTAACTTTAAAAAACCATCTGATTTTTCTTTATTTTCTTTATTTTTATTGTAAATTGACATATTTTACTTGCATACATTTATGAGGTATCAGGTGTTGTTATGATTTATGACTACTATGTGGAATAATTAAATGAAACTAATTAACGTATTCAAATGATAATAAATATAACAGATAACAGGTAACAAATATTTTTTTATGGTGAGAATATTTGAAAGTTACTTTTTCAGCAATTTTGTAATGTACAATACACTATTATTAACCATATTCACAATGCTGTTCAATAGATCTCAGAAAAGCAGAACAAAACTTATTCCTCTTGTCTAACTGAGGTTCTGTAAACTTTCACCATCATCTCCCCATTTTTCTCCACCCAAACACGGAAGTATGTAAAAATTCTCAGTGCTTACAAAGTTTCATATACCAATTTTTGTAATGATACTTCCCCAGAACTCAATTTGACAGACTGAAGTATGTAGATAAGACAAAAAAAAAAAAAAAAAACACACAAACCAATGAAAATAAATATGTCCTTATTTGCATGTTTACAAATGAGAATTCAGTGTTTCCTTTCTCACCAGCTACAAAAGACTTCAGCCTACTGTGTATAAGGCACACAGCATCTGGATGAAGCTCAGCTGAGCTGTCTGGGGAAATACAGAGATTTTTATGAAGAGAGCTTTAAACCCAGCCATTAGCAAATCTGGATGGTTGCTGGTTTAACATTCCCTTTTTAAAGGGAATATATTATTGAATTTTCAAGAATCAGATATACATAGCATTTTAGATGAATGCATTAAGAAGTCTTCAGCAGTGATATTAGACATTGGGGCATGCTCTTACAGGCAATGGGTGGTGTCATAAAGAGCATATTTACATTCGTTTTAATTGTGGAATTTATAATTGGAAATTTAGGAAATAGTTTCATAGCACTGGTGAACTGTATTGACTGGGTCAAGGGAAGAAAGATCTCTTCGGTTGATCGGATCCTCACTGCTTTGGCAATCTCTCGAATTAGCCTGGTTTGGTTAATATTCGGAAGCTGGTGTGTGTCTGTGTTTTTCCCAGCTTTATTTGCCACTGAAAAAATGTTCAGAATGCTTACTAATATCTGGACAGTGATCAATCATTTTAGTGTCTGGTTAGCTACAGGCCTCGGTACTTTTTATTTTCTCAAGATAGCCAATTTTTCTAACTCTATTTTTCTCTACCTAAAGTGGAGGGTTAAAAAGGTGGTTTTGGTGCTGCTTCTTGTGACTTCGGTCTTCTTGTTTTTAAATATTGCACTGATAAACATCCATATAAATGCCAGTATCAATGGATACAGAAGAAACAAGACTTGCAGTTCTGATTCAAGTAACTTTACACGATTTTCCAGTCTTATTGTATTAACCAGCACTGTGTTCATTTTCATACCCTTTACTTTGTCCCTGGCAATGTTTCTTCTCCTCATCTTCTCCATGTGGAAACATCGCAAGAAGATGCAGCACACTGTCAAAATATCCGGAGACGCCAGCACCAAAGCCCACAGAGGAGTTAAAAGTGTGATCACTTTCTTCCTACTCTATGCCATTTTCTCTCTGTCTTTTTTCATATCAGTTTGGACCTCTGAAAGGTTGGAGGAAAATCTAATTATTCTTTCCCAGGTGATGGGAATGGCTTATCCTTCATGTCACTCATGTGTTCTGATTCTTGGAAACAAGAAGCTGAGACAGGCCTCTCTGTCAGTGCTACTGTGGCTGAGGTACATGTTCAAAGATGGGGAGCCCTCAGGTCACAAAGAATTTAGAGAATCATCTTGAATATATTAGAAAAAAAATAGCTCCTAAGAAATTCTTGTATGTTATATAAATTTATACTTCCTTAAGATTCTTTCATTGTGTATAACTTTGTGAATTTTACAAAGATATGCTTGGAATCAACACCATCCAAACATATCACAAATTAGGATATATGAAAGTATGTATATTACCATACAGAGAAGAATGCGAATACTATAAAGAGTTCTTATACAAACAGATAATATAGATTTTGTATCAATCATTCACCTTTTTTGAGATTTTTAAATGAGAAAACCTATAATGTATAAAATACATGTGTGTATGTATGTATGTGACACAGTTACTAAAAATAGGCTTCTTAAACTTACATCTCAATCTGGTAGATAAAGTACATAAAAGAATATGGAATTTTAGTACCTATATTAAGTGTTTTTAATTTTTGTATAATATTTAGTACCTGATTAGCGTGTATGCAAAAAAGTAATTTGCTTCGTTTGTTGAATTAGAAGCCAGCTGCCTTACTAAACTACCACATTTGCTTTGCTCATTCTCTTGGCTTTGCAGATAGAAAATTATATCATCTGCATATAGTGACTTATAATGATTATTTTACTTCTCCATTTTACTACTTGTAATTCTTTTTTGGTATCAGTTGTATAATGAAATGGTTTGAACATTCAAAGTGTTAAGTAATCCTGATCGTAACTGCTGTCTTTGCAAATGGAGTGTTTTCTAGTGTTTTAACAATAAACGTAATACTGACTCTAGCTTTGAGATAAATTCTTTTAAAAATATTCTTCAGGGAGAATATTTGTTTCCTATCTTCCTGTGTATAGTATTGTAATAAAATCTCTGTTAAAAACTATCAAATTTTTTGCTGTTTATTAAGATGATCATATTTTCCCTCTCCTCTGACCAATTAAAATAATGATACTTGTTAATGGTGGTACATAAAACAATGACATGTCTTCTAGTCTATGCATTCTAGATTTAATAAAATACAATATACATATTCATACACACGCACGCACACACACACACAGAGAGAGAGAGAGAGAGAGAGAGAGAGAAATAAAATTGCAACCTTAGAGGCAAATGGGAATTCAGAAAGCAGCTGCAAGGTAGTGAGAGGTAATCTCCAAAAGGGGAAGATAATCCCAGTTTGAATAACATGAAAAATTGTGTCAAAGAACTGTATGCCAGAAGACAGTTGATTCATTTTTTCAAGGGCTAAGGAATGTAACCGTAATCCTGAATTCTTTGCTAAAAATTTGTTCTGGGGTTTGAATTAAATAATAACATTCCCCTCTCCCCTTAAAAAAAGATGAGGGCTGTTTACTAAACATACGTCCTTACTGAAAATGCTAATAACCAATCTGCTTCAGAAAGACTGTTATGGACTGACTTGTTTGTCTCCAAAATCCATGTGTTGAAGCCCACACTCTCAATGTGACTGTATTTGGATATAAGGCTTTTAAGTAGGTAGTTAAGGTTAAATTAGGCCATACAGTGAGGCCGTAGTACAATAGGACTGGTGTCTTTATAAAAAGAGGAAGAAACAGGCATCTGTGGGCACAGAGAAAACACAATGATGTATGATTCCATTTATATACCATTCTAGAATATGGAAAGTAATCTATAGTGACTGAAAGCAGATCCATGGTTGCCTGGTAACTGGGGGTTTGATAAAGAATGGGCAGTGGTAAGTTGGAGGAATAACACAGGAACATAAAGGAAAGTTTTGGGGGTACTATATATGTTTGTTACCTGATTATAGTGATGGTTTCACATGTGATGAGTATCACATGGTGAGACACTCATGAAATTGTACACTTTATATCTGTACAACTTATTGCATGTCAAGTATACCTCAAGTGGCATATTAGAAACAACTCAGGAGGAAAACTGCACATAAGTATGCATTCTTAGAAAGCTTCTCTTTGCAACTTTGGAAGAATCAAATATTATTATTTCCTATTCTTATTTTTTGATCTTAGCCTGGGCCTTATGTTTACTGGAATAAAATATGTAGGAATTCTTGTTGTCTTATCTACCTTACTGGTTTGTCTTCCCCAGTAGTAAGTTTTTAAGGGAAGAAAGCTGCAGGGGTGTGTGTATGTGTGTGGGGGCGGGGTGGTGGGAGGGATAGGAGAGCAATAGCAGAGAGCTCCTCTGAAGTGAGTTCTAGCTTTCCTGGAGCCTAGGTTCTGCTTCATCATCGAATGCCCCATGAAAATTCAGTTTCAGAGCCTACTCCATTACCCCATTTTCATTCTTGTAGGAATTGGTGTGTTCCTCAGATTCAGCTCAATATCCTGGAAGATGCCAAGCCTGTAATGTCCATCCTACCTCTGCCTGGGTCATGTGTTGGCGCTCCTATCCTTGAAAGTTTTTTCTTAAAATTTCCCATTTTTGCCTGCTTAACTCCTCAATCTGGATCCCTCCAAATTCGAGGATCATATAGACAACATTACAGATCTTTGCTGATGTAGTTTATTGCTCTCTATTGATTTAAAAATTTTCTTGAAGAAATAAGAATATATTGGGATTTAACTCCACCGTGTTGTTTAGCAAACCTATACTTACTTACTTTGGAGTAAGATTTAACAGCCATAGAACAGATGTTGCTCAGCAGAGGTGTGGGGAAGCTGAATAAAACCCAACCTTTGATAACTCTAGGGGAGTGGGTATTACTGAGTAGAGGAGAAGTACAAAATGAGGACAATTCATGCTCTGCAGATGTTCCTCTGCATTCTCAATATTGTCCCTATCTGGCTTTAACAAAGAGGCTGCTGTGTGGGATTAATATAGAGTTCTATCAGTTTTCATAAGCCCTGTAAATGGTTCTCAAATGTTCCTGGATATTTTCAGTTAAGTATTAGAGAATATCAAGGGTAATTATGTTTTTAAAATATTTTGATATATAATATTTTTTAATGTCAGGATAAGCTTAATAAATATTAATGAAGGAAGCAAGAATTAATTATTAGAAAATCGAAGATTTTGAATCCATGTGATTTCCTGAGCCCTATATTCTTATTGCCAAAAAGACAGCAGTCATTCCTGGACAATAATCCTATAAGGTTATTCTGCAAAGTGTGTGTATACGGGAACTTGCAAACAATTAATTGATAAATAAATGTAAATTATCAGCACTCAGCATTCAGGAGTTATGGCTCCTCTGGATTCATTCAGTAAATTTCAATGCTTTGAATTATAAGAGCTTTGGATAAACTATGAAAATATCCCCTCAGTCTTCCCTCAGCATTCCTCAGTGGAGATGATTTTAGTGCTCAATATACTCCATCTACTAATTTACATATTTGCTATATGTTATACTTCTATCCATTGAATTTTAATGCAATTGATAACAATTAAAATTAATAAGCAAATTGTGAAGAGATTAGATAAAGCAAACATGCACAATGATGCAGAGAATTGTCTTTATTTGTTTATTAACAATGAGAATTCAGTTTTTTCTTTCATCATGAAGTATGAGAAATTTCACTTTATGTTAAGAACATACAGTATCTGGATCAGAATGCAGATAGCTGTCTGGGGCAAAATAATCTTTTTGTGAAAAAAGCTATGTGCCCATTCATTAGTACACCTTAGTGCTTTCTACTTTCATATTGAGCCTATAGTTTTTTTTTTAAAGGAAGAAATTAACTGCACATCCAATTAATAAGTATGTATAACAGGTACATGTGATAGATGAAGAAATTGTCAGCGTTGCATTTAGACATTGGAGCTCTCTCTTTGCAGCCATGCTAAATGCCTTGTATAGTATCCTCATTATAATAATAAATATATAATTCCTAATTGGAATTTTGGGGAATGGATTCATAACACTGGTGAACGGAATTGACTGGGTCAAGATGTGAAAGAGATCTTCGAATCCTCACAGCTTTGACTATCTCCAGAATTTGTCTGATTTCGGTAATAATGGTGAGATGGTTTATAGAGGAGCTGTAGTTATCTTTACAGATGAGCAGAAAGAAAGCCAGAGCTGCAAACTCTTGTGGTGAAGAGAATACATCACTAGGGGGAACCCATCCCTGGGAAAGAAGCTGTTCTTAAAATCAGAAGTGGAAATAACTTAGAGTAAAATAATCAGATGCTTGCTATCACAATGGCATTAAAAATTCGAAGACTAGGCCTTTTGGTTCCTTTGTGAATAATCATTTTCTTATTATATTTACTAGCTGGTCATTGTGTAATCACAAAGATTCTTTAGAAGTTGAATTAATAAACGGCTATTGTATTAAATTTTATTTTAATTACAATGGTTTTCCTTCCTTTCCTTTTTTACCTGAGTAGAATCTCTTGTTATTTTCTGGACAGAAAAACAGATCTGCATGTGGTGGTAATTTTACTCCTTCCATTTGAATATATGTATCTCTGTTATGTGCTTGTTTATCTAATATTAAATAAAATTATTCACTTTCTAATTATCCACAACATTGACAAGCTTTTTCTTTGTGCCTTTTTATTAGATAATTTTTCAGGGTGTTGCAGATACACATAAGGTTAGCAGCTACTTTGAGGTACACCATTTTAATCATGGTCAGAAGGCTAATCAAAAAAGTATTTTACAAGAATTGTTTTTTAAAAAATATATTAAATATTATCAAAGACAACGTTGGCATCTTTTGAGATGGTCATATTTTTTTTTCCTCTGCTGACTTCATTATCCAAAACAAATAATGAACATTCCTTAACATTCCTGGAATCAAGTCTGCTTGGTCATTTAACTCATATATCACTTTAATTTGTTTTAAATTATTTAAAGTGAGATTTATAGTTATTACTGTTAGAGTAGTCATATCAAAAAATTTTTTTTCAAGAACTTGGGGTATTTCTCTTCTTTTCAGCATTTTGTATAAATCAGCATACTAAAGGACTGCCTGTTAATGAGGAATCTTCCATGAAGGTGCTTTTGGGAGGAGTGAATTCTCTATTAAATTTCATCATATTTTACTTAGATATTAACTACTATAATGAGTTTAATATATTTTTAAGGTCATTTTGTATATAAGTCACTCCATATTGTATATCTGTAAAAACTGTGTTCAGTTTTTCATGTTTGCTTTTCAGAATGTAGGAAAAACTCATCTTTTAAAACACTTGTTTAAGCTTTACCTGATTACTCTGAAGATTATCTGTTTCCCTTATTCTTCCAGAATTTTCACAATCTTTTGCCAATTTTATTGGATTTTCAAGAAGTTATTACTGTTAGTTCAAAATTTATGAATCATTTCTTCTCATTCATTTAATCTTTTAAATTTTCATTAATTCTTATTTCTGTTCTCCCAAGTGTATTTTGTCTCTCTTTTTTAATTATTTGAGCTCATTGCTTACTTTTTTTTCAATACTCCTGGTTGCATTATAAAGTCATCAATTTCTAAAATGTTTTCTGACTATTGTGTAAATCAAGTCACATCAATTTTCACACGCAATTGCCCTTCAAATTATGCTGCCGCCTTGATGAAATCCATTCAGGTTTTCTTAAGAATGGTAAGAATCATAGGCAGGGACAGAACTGATCAGTGATAAAATAGGGGAAAATAGGTCTAGTGGCTTCTGGGGAATACAGGCATAGAACCATACTCACTTTCCTAGAAAACAAAATAAGTTACTCTCAAACTTGTTAAAGTTTCTCTCAGCTTCTGGGACTTTCTTTCATTGGTCCTGTTTTGCTTACATTCATAAGCTGACTAGACTATCAGGAAATGACCTGAAAATAATTGTGCAATTTAAATTCGAGCTAAGAAGACAGAGAAGGAAAGAAACAGTGGAACTCCTTCCCCAGGCAGATGACTTAATAAGGATAAGGAGGAAAGAAGCTTGCTGGAAACATCAAGGAGAAGGGGTCCTGGATGTTCTTACAATGTGAACATGGGTCTCAGATTCCAGAGTCCCAAACACTCAGAAGGAGATGCTATAATCAGAAATTGCAAGCTGATTATTTTATTGGTATATTGAAGTTAGAGCATGATCACATTATGTTTCAAGGCATTTGAAACACTGTCATCTTCTTATTCACTTCCTGAAAAAGACAAGGAAGATTATAGGCAAGACTTGACATGGCAGGAAATGTCTAATACCTCATTGGTTTACTGCGGTGAGGAAGATGCAAAACCATCCTTTTGCCCTCTATCCCTTCTACAGCCCCCCTCCTTAATATCATTTTCTTTGTTCACACTTTCTATGCCATTGCACGTAATGTGCTTTAAACTGTTGCTTAGATGAGGACGAAAAACGATTATTGTTAGGTTGTTCATGCTTTGTGGCTGTTGGATACGTTAAGGGTTATTTTCAGAAAGATGGGGACTGCAACATATCCTGTAATAGGGACAGTGTGAAAGCAGCCTTAATGTTCAGTGACAAGGATTGGTTAAGTAAATTATGGAAAAACCAAACAATAGCATCATATATAATTGTAAAAAAAAAAACTAACCAATAAACACTGAAGAGATCTAAATAAACTCATGTGAAAGCTAAGAAATAAATTTTTCCAATAAGTAAGACACAGAACTGAATATAAAGTGTGGTATTAGTGGTGGGAAAATTATATATAGTTATGTAGCAATAAATATTTCAAAGAGGAGTTTCCAAACAGTAAAAAGTGGGAGTTTTGGTAAGGGTAGAGGGGAGGAGAAATGAATTGCTATTTAGCTTGGTACATGTCTATTCAGTGAGATTAGTTTTTGTTAGCTTAAGCATGTATGACTTTAAATGTGAAATGTGTTTTAAAAAATGAGATACCATTTAACAGCTAAAAGTCCAAGGACCATTTAGCAGGAATACTGGACTTGAAATGCTAGTGTGAGGCAGGACTGAGCCTGTCCTGAACAAGGAGTGTTCAGGTAAAACTTTAAATAAATGGGAGTCTTTGAGTTTGAGGAAAGGAAACAGAGTGCCAAAGGGAGAACATGATTCTATGTCCTCATTCCCAACCCTATTTAAGAGAGGTAATTTGAAGATAGTGATTCTCAAAATTGGAATTGCCTTCAAGAGATTGTTTAAAAACAAGATCTTGCTACCTTATCCCAGAATATTTGAACAAAACTCATGAGAAATGTGTTCCAGGACACGGAAATATTAACAGCTTTTCAATAGATTCACTGGCACAATGAAGTTGGAGAACTGTAGCAGTTGGAGCCTTTGATGGATAATAAACTGGAATCATACCTATCATTGAATCCTAGATTACTGAGGAGACTGCCCCTGTGGAGGTCCTTGTGGGCGGCCCCCTTGGGGAGGTGGTCCCTGGGGCTTTCCAGGAGGAGGTGGGGGAGGACCTTGCTGATGGCCTCCCTGTTGGGGTGGTCCTTGTGGCCTTCCTCGAGGAGGACGGGGATGGCCTCCCTGTTGGGGTGGTCCTTGTGGCCTTCCTTGAGGAGGAGGGGGATGGCCTCCCTGTTGGGGTGGTCCTTGTGGCTTTCCCTGAGGAGGTGGTGGACCTTGTTGCTGCTGGCCTCCTTGTTGGGGTGGTCCCTGCTGAGGGCCATCATTCTGGTTCCCATCACCAGCAGAGGGTTGAGATTGCTGTCCTCCCAAAGGTGGTCCCTGACGCTCCTCATCTATGAACTGCTCAGAGTCTCCTCCATCTGTGTGAGTTGAAACAAGAAGAGCTGAGCTCATGCTGGAAAACCCTCCTGTCTTCATATCTCTCTGTCTTCACCACACGGCCGGCCCCTCTCTCCCTGACCTGCCTCTCAACTCCCAACCTCCCCCCTTCCCAAGGCTTCCTAATTAGAACTCCTCTTAATCCACATTAGGGTGGTGAAAAATCAAATTTCTTTACTCATGGTCCCCAGAATCAAGGTTGGGAGAAAACTGTTTATATCTCTGGGGCACTGATATTAGCCAATTCCTGACAAGGATGATAAGAAGACACTGGAGAACTGATCAATTTTTCAGGGAAAAATGGAGACAGAGTTTACTGAGAATTTATTGGGATTTACCTGATATTACCAAGGGAACGTCTTCTTGGCTGACATCTAGAAAAGAAGTACAGGATGATGGGAAAAGTTACTGCATGAATCATTCAGAGCTCATAGTGTTCTACGAGGATAAAGGACCTCTGATCACACCCTGTGCATCCCCTTTGAGATCTCATCAGCCACTCTCTGATGCTACCGGAAGTGGAAGAAGATGTAAGGGAAAGCAGGATTGTTACTACACTGAGCGTCAACCAGGAACTCAACATAGAAGGGCCCCTGTTTGTCCTCTCATGATTCCTTAAGCCTTAGTGCTTATTTAGTTAAAGGGCTCTTGAGTATTTCAATGAAATATTTGGGGATCCTTCTGCCCTCTTTCATCTGTAAATATGTTGTTTATGTTTGCAAGCTTTCTCAACAGGAGCCACCAGACATAGCCACTTAGATACAATCTTACAAATGCCCGTCCCAGCACATTAAAATACTACATGCAGGAGAGAAAAAAATGACAATATTTCACTCTGGTGATTCTCTAACTCTATGTAGACAGAGGCAAGTGTTTACCCAATTCTCTGCCTCAGCAATAGCTCTGACATGTGTTTATCTCCTTCATGGATACTCATCCACTGTCCAGCAAGGCCACCATCATCCCTGTCTACTGGGATCAGTATAGGATCTTCACAGCTGCACTTCCCTGAATCTGTCTTGCATTCTCCATATCCTTCCCAGCAGTCCCATGTCTCTATAAATGCAAATCTCACTCTCTCACTCCCCCGGTACAAATTCTTTATTGGGTTCTATTTGTGCAATCAATAAATTATGAGGTCTTGATGAGGAATGAAGGCACAACAGGTCTTCTGATCCTTGGCATGAGAACTCTTCAGTCCTATCTGTTTTCTCATCCTCCTCTCTTCCCTCCACTTTCCCCCTCTATAGCATTCGCCCGTAAACCCCAATCAGAGTCACAATATCTTCCCCCAATTCGGCTTACCTTCATCTAAGTCCTGAGCTGAGCTGAAGGCCAGCAGGGCCACTGACAGCAGAATCAGAAGCATCTTGCAGAAGGCTCTGGTGTCACTCCCAACTTTATGCTGGGAGAAACGTGTCAGCTCCCTTTATAAAGACAAGCAGGACAATGGCGCATTTGAGCTCCCTACCAGGTGGGCCTCCTCGCCTCAGAGACTGGGTTCTGCTTTGCTTACTTCAGGTCAAGTGTATCCCTCATTTCTTCTGGGACTCTAGCCTAGCAGGAAGGGTTGGGGAGGATGTTGTTTGTGGCTAATTTCTAAAAGGTACAACTATGACTTGGACAAATGTTTTGACGGAACTGTGTCCAAGCAATCAGCACAGTGTCAGGATTGAACTTTAGACATCATTTGTTTTTCAATCTGTTTGGAAAGACTGCTATTCTGCTTTCCACTGTGCTTTTCATTTGTGTGTATGTGAGTTTGTGTGGGTGTGTCAGGGGGTTGGGCAGCAATCCTACAGCTAACAGTGAAGACGGTCAATATGTCTGACTCTTTTGATAGCCTATTTCCATCTCTCATGATGTGTGTGCATGGATATTTGTATATTTAGCTAAATTTTTCATGTAATAGAGATGCTTTCTGCTTATCCGTGAGTTGTGTGAGGACAGCACACTGCTGGGTACACATAGATGACAGAAGGCTGCCCCGCAGCCTCCTCATGCTACAGGAAATTTCCAAACTCTGTGAATCTCACTACACTCAGGCAAGCGTTGGTGCTGTACAATACAGGAAAGCTAAAAAATTTGTATTTTAAAAAATATCTTTAGGGATTATTAAAGCAAAACTGAACACAGAAACCACCAAGGAATTTCTAGACCTAAACAAACTGAAACATGGTTCCCAAAGTGAGCCACACGATGTCATGTAGCTAAGACCTCCACTTTCTCCAGAATATTCTATAGAATTCATCATCTACTTTATTTCTTCTAACAAATACCGTAGTCTTCACCACTAATAACTAAGTGGCCATACTTATATATTCAACTTGATGATTTGTAATGCCTGTTCAAGCCTCAAATGCCTTGATTGGTCTTCTGTTTTTTACTCAGTATTTATGTCACCAGTTTCATCAGAGTTTTCTTTCACAAAGATGATTTTTTCTATGATATTCTAATACTAATTCTTTCTCATTCTCTTTCTTACATTCATTTGTTGATATTTTATATGCTGAGACTACCTTGTCGTTTGTAATTTTCTTCCTATATAGTTTTTTTCTCCCCACATGACTTGTGGGAGATGACATTTATTTAATCTTCTAAGCAATGGTGTATGGTACTCCTCACTATCTTTATTTTCATTTTTGTCTCTACAATTGGACAATAAACTATTAAGTTTCTGAAAAATCCTTCCAGGGTCCTGGATTGGTACTCCTCTTCTCAGCTGCTGATTGCTCTGTGATACCTAGAAATTCCCTGTTCCTCAATTCATAAAATATACTACTCGGTATCACCAGCTGCACTTTCCATTTCAGACCTTGTGTAGGCCTTGTGTAATTTTTCACTTTTTGTGCACGGCTAGTGTTTATTTGAGGATAGCTTGGTTGGAGGCATGGCTGAGAGGCCATGTGACAGAAAATCATAAAGACAAGGCCCTAGACAGATGTGCATGGGTGGATCCTGTACTGTGCATACGAGGGTCTGGTCTGGCCCTTCTGAAGAGTTGCAGATAACAAAACAAGAAGGCTTCCTAATAGATTAGATTTTTCTACAGACAACAATGTTCTCATAAGGGACCCAGGCAGACTGATATTTTCCCTGAAATAAATATAGACATATTTGAAGTGGGAATGCATTCTTAATTGGCAATTCTTCTCTGGCCCTGTGGAAACTGGATCAGTTTTAGCTGGGCTTGATGGGTTGTATCTTAGGCACAGGGTAGGTGCTTAAGCCAAGCAGCTCCCAGTGGGTTACTGGGATTATTTTCTTTGGTTTCACCAGATACTGTTTTCCATTAGACCTGGAGATGAGCAGTCCTGCCTTGGTGATTTCAGGTCAACCATCATGTCAAAAAGGAAGGCCAGAGAAAGGGAACAAAGAGGGGTGCCAGACAGATATTGCCTGATGATGTGGGTAACGGAGAAAGCTGCAAGCCTGGTGAAAGACAGATTTCTCCTTGGCAGCAGAGTACAGGAAAAGAACAGGAAATGCTCCTAAAGGTCGCTCAGCTCAGGTCCCTTCCATGACCTTCTCCAATGTCAACAATCAGCAAAAGAGACTAGCATATCAAGAAAGTATAAATACCAGCTATGCTCTCACCAGCCAAATCAAAAGAAGGGGTGATGGAAGAGCTGAAAGGGACACTGTCTGGGAGTGAGTGTGGGTGAAAGGGAGAAGTAGGACTGCTGCAGGAGCTTGGGCACCTAGAGTGGGTGGCAGCCGTCAACAACACAATTCCCTTCTACTATGGATGTTCACATTCTGAGGTCCTGAAGCATCAGTCTTCAACATATGAAATTTTAGGATTCATCTTTCATAACACATCCCAACTTTTTCTCTGTTACTCACAGGTGTTTACCTAGTGGTTCAAAAATCCTCACTCCCTCCAGGCACTACCCATTAGCTTATCTAATTTCTTCCACCTTCAAAATACATCTCAAATGTGTCCACTTGCATGATCTTTACTAGAAGCTTGTTGTTCGGCCCACAATGCTCTCTCCTGGAGGTCTTTAACAGCCTCGACCTGGTCCTGGTAACATTCTTCCCCCAGTACATCCCATATCAGTTCCCTCACGACAATCAGAGTGATCATTTAAAAGTAGAAATTAGATCATATCACCCTTGTGCTTCAAACCCCTTGTTTTTCCTTCTGGACTTACAATAAGGTCCAAATTTCATGACTCAGCTCTTTCACACCCACATGACTAAATCTTTTTTGAAGACCCGGAAGCTCTCTGAATGGAATATAAAGTAGGATCTTCTTCAACTTCACCTTGCTCTAGTTTGCCTGGAATACTGAAGGATGGTTTGCCAGGAAAGATGAACATTGGCAGAGGGGATAAACTTCTCCGAGAGTGAGTGAATTGCATTGAGTTGCTTGTCTGGCAGTTTATGTACATTGGAAGAATTATTGTATTCACTGTATCAACTAAGCAGTCTGATAATACAGTTAGCAAATAAACACAATGGTCTCTGAGACTTCAACTTTGCTTTGACTTGTCTAAAAACTTTGGTTTCACTATCATGGTAATCATCTATATTTTTTAATTTGATGTTGATGACCTATTAATATATATTATACATTTCACAATTAATTATCATATTTCTATTCTTTCCACCTATCCTAGCCAAATTGGTTATAATAGAAAACATTTTTAAACATTTACTATGTTCCACTTAATCATCAAAACCATTATATTAGGGACATATGATTGTTATCATTACCTTAGTTTTATAGATGACATGACTTAGGTACATAACAATGTTCTTATAAAGGTATTAAGTGGAATAGAAGGCAGTCAGTACTCAGAGTTTAGTGTGCACCACTACTCACTTGCTATTCATTTATTCATTTCATTATTACAATATGAGAAGGAATGAGGTTCAGAAAAGAAACATAAGTTCTGTTATTAGGAGATTATCAAGGTTAAGCTTTCCTAAGACTTTAACAGGTGAGGTGAAAAATATATTTTTCCTGAGGAAATAAGTTTGTTTTAAATCATAAGCACATTTACGTAGGCTTCCATTCACCTGTTTTCCTCCTTGCCTTCATATAAAGATACTCATACAAATTTATTCGTTTTTTGTGATTATGAAAACCCAGTCAATGTAGATCCTTTATGTGCTTTCTTAATACAAGCCACATGCATTTTTCTGCTGAGCCATATTAGCATTGGCAAAACTTGAGCCTGTCCTTTGAAATGAACCAAAAATGTTGATTCTCATCACAATGAATGTAAAATTTTAGAAGTCCAAGAGAGAGACTGGCCTGAGATTTGTGTATGAAGGGATAAATTTGTATACCACTTGCACAGATTTCAGTCTTCTGCCTGAGAGTGCCCCTGTGTCCTGGCCCCAGAGCTGGTGTTACCAAAACAGGTCCGGGTCATTGATATTATTACTAAGGTGTTATCTGAGCTCATGGTCTCATGACCAAGAAAATTAAGGAGTGTGGACACAAAAGGGTGAGGTTGGAGCAAAAGTTTAATAAGTGAAAGAAGAAAGCTCTCTGCAGTGGAGAGGGGAGTCAGAGTGGATTGCCACTTTTACAGTTGAATCCACAAGCTTTTATGAGAAACTGCTCTCCAACACATTCAAAAGCTAGCAGACAGCAAGAAACAACTAAGATCAGAGCAGAATTGAAGGAGATAGAGACACAAAACACCCTTCAAGAAATCCATGAATCCAGGAGTTGGTTTTTTTGAAAAGATCAACAAAATTGATAGACCAGTAGCAAGACTAATAAAGAAGAAAAGAGAGAAAAATCAAATAGACCCCCCAAAAAATGATAAAGGGGATATCACCACTGATTCCACAGAAATACAAACTACCATCAGAGAAAACTATAAACACCTCTATGCAAATAAACTAGAAAATCTAGAAGAAATGGATACATTCCTCGACACATACACCCTCCCAAGACTAAACCAGGAAGAATTTGAATCCCTGAGTATACCACTAACAGGCTCTGAAATTGAGGCAATAATTAATAGCCTACCAACCAAAAAAAGTCCAGGACCAGACGGAATCACAGCCGAATTCTACCAGAGTTACAAGGAGGAGCTGGTACCATTCCTTCTGAAACTATTCCAATCAGTAGAAAAAGAGGGAATCCTCCCTATGTCAGCCATTGAGTTGGATCATTGTAGATGTTCATCCCATTTGAGCCTTCAGATGACTGTGGTCCCATCCCTTATCTGATGGCAACTACATGAAATACCACAATGAGAGACTATCCACTAAGTCCAGGCAATTCACAGAATCGTGAGGAAAAAAGTAATAAACTGCTGTTTTAAGCCTGCAATTTGGGGAATGATTTGTTATATAAAAATAGAAACTTAGAATAGATGGAGAAATGAGGCTGGGCTCCGTGTCTCACGCCTGTAATCCCAGCACTTTGGGAGGCCGAGGCGGGTGGATCATGAGGTCAGGAGATGGAGACCATCCTGGCTAACACGGTGAAACCCCGTCTCTATTAAAAATACAAAAAATTAGCTGGGCGTGGTGGCAGGCGCCTGTAGTCCCAGCTACTCGGGAGGCTGAGGCAGGAGAATGGCGTGAACCCAGGAGGCGGAGCTTGCCGTGAGCTGAGATCGCACTCCAGCCTGGGCGACAGAGCGAGACTCCGTCTCAAAAAAAAAAAAAAAAAAAAAAACAGATGGAGAAATGAATAAAAAGAACTTATCACTTTAATCTCAAAGCAAAAAAAGAGTGAAAAGAGAGTGATAACTAGCAAAATTTTAATAAGACAGTAAAAGCAAGTTCAATGTTATCAGAAATGTTCATGAATTTAAATAAATTTGCTTGATCTATCAAAAGACAGAGAATAAATAAGAAAACAAAACACGACTATGTTCTGCTTTCAAGAGGCATACCTAAAGCAGAAAACCACAGTGACAGAAAATAAATGGGTAGAATCTACCACTAACTAATGAGCACAGTAACTGCTACTTATGCCTAATGTCTATTATCCTATCATTTGTTGGTGATAGAATCACACTATTCCCTTGGACAATTTGTGCCACAAAAACTTTCCTATGTATTTTTTAGTTATGTGAAAGATAGATGCTCTTCCACATGCATATATTCAATTGCTTGTTTATATTTGTCATATTTAACTGAATTATAACTAATAATCACATAACATTTAAAGTAAACAACAGTAACAGTTAAAGACAGGTGATTACAGAGTAGTAAGAATAAAACAATTCATCGAAGGCTGGGCATGTTGGCTCACGCCTGTAATTCCAGCACTTTGGGAGGCCAAGGCGGGCAGATCACCTGAGGTCAGGAGTTCAAGACCAGCCTGGCCAATGTGGTGAAACCCCCATCTCTACTAAAAATACAAAAAAATTAGCTGTGCATGGTGGCGTGTGCCTGTAATCCCAGCTACTCAGGAGACTGAGGAAGGAGAATTACTTGAACCTGGGAGGCAGAGGTGGCACTGAGCCAAGATCACACCATTGAACTCCAGCCTGGGCAACAAGAGCAAAACTCTGTCTCAAAAAAAAAAAAAAGGGCCGGGCGCGGTGGCTCACGCCTGTAATCCCAGCACTTTGGGAGGCCGAGGCGGGTGGATCATGAGGTCAGGAGATCGAGACCATCCTGGCTAACAAGGTGAAACCCCGTTTCTACTAAAAATACAAAAAATTAGCCGGGCGCGGTGGCGGGCGCCTGTAGTCCCAGCTACTCGGGAGGCTGAGGCAGGAGAATGGCGTGAACCCGGGAAGCGGAGCTTGCAGTGAGCCGAGATTGCGCCACTGCAGTCCGCAGTCCGGCCTGGGCGACAGAGCGAGACTCCGTCTCAAAAAAAAGAAAAAGAAAAAATTCATGGAAAAGATGCAATAATCATGAATTTGGACATACCTAACAATGCATTACGTAAATAGATAAAGCAGAAGCCTCACAAACAGAAACTGAAGAATCCACAAATAATAAGAATGTAAGACACACTTAATAAACTGCCATATCAAGCAGAAGAAAGAATGATATGGAATATTTTAAGAATGCAATTAGCAAAAATTAATTCAATACTTTTATGTAGAAATCTGTACTTGACAGAAATCTGGACACAAACATTCAAATACACATGAAACATTTACACACCTAAACCATGTACACTATAACAAAGAACAGATTCCATGGAATAAGTATTACGTAGAATGTAAAGTAGTAAAATGTTAAATCAATCAAAAAAGTTTGAAAATTGAACTATTCTCTATAACTGAGAAAAAGATGAACATTTCTACATAAAAGATAAATGTTTAGAACTCAGCAACGAAAAAGCTTTTCACAATCAAAATGAAAAAACCGGCTAAAGCTAAGAATCCATATCCATTAGTACATGTTTTATAAAAAAGTTTTCCAGATGAATGAGGCACATATTCACCTTCAGTTAAGAAAAATGAACAACAGAAAAATTTAAAGAAGGGTGAATAAGTTAAGAAGGAGCTAATATGTACCTTGCGCTTACTTAGTACATGGTACTGTTCTAGGTGGTTTAGGTGTGCTATTTATTTTATATTTATTCCTAAAAACAGTCTCATTCCCTTTGGTTTTTAAAGAATCAGAGGCATGACAGGGTGCTGTGGCACCTGCCTGTAATCCCCGAACATTGGGAGGTCAAGACAGGTGGATGCTTGAGTTCAGGAGTTCGAGACAAGCCTGGGCAATATGGTGAGACCCCACTGCCCTCTACAAACAATACAAAAATTAGCCGGGTATGGTGGTGCACCTTTGTAGTCCCAGCTACTAGGGAGGCTGAGGTGGAAGGATCACTTGAGCCTGCGAGGTCAAAACTACAGTGAGCCAAGATCGCACCACTGCACTCCAGCCCCGGGTGACAGCGTGAGACCTTGTCTCAAAAACTAAACAAACAAAAATCCAAGGGATAGCAAGGTTAAGTAAATTTCCCAAGTCATAGACTCAGCAAAAGGAAAAGTTAGAATTTGTCTGAAGGGCAGTAATTATGCTTTTGGATGTCAACCAAAATCAAAGTAGTAAATAAATAAATGAATGAATAAATAAATAGAAAATCAAAATATAATAGACAATGGTAGTACAACCAAAATCTTTTAAAGATTAGGAAATTCAAAAGTCTGATGGTACTGATCAAGAAATACGAGAAGCAGAAAAATTGATGAAATGTAGAAAATACTAAATAGCAGAGCTTTATATAATCAAAGTTCTAAATAATTTTATTCCAAAATTTAAAAACTCAGTTGAAATTGCCAAGTTTTTAAAAAGCATAGGTTAACAAAAATTTATATTAGTAGTAAAAAACTTTAATAAATCAACAATTTCAAAGATTTTGAATGGACTATCAAAATATACACAAGATATCAAATTCAGATGGATTTATAAAAAACTTTTACTAAGTTTAAAAATGTCATAATTTTTACCTTCTCCAAACTACTTCAGTGAACCTAAATGTTTTATTCTCATTTATTTTAAGAAGTTAAAAAATTATTCTCAAAGTGAGTAAAAACAGTAGAGGACAGCAAATAATGAGAAGGTAGGCAATTAGATACAGGCACAAAACTGCTAAAAAAAAGTGTAAAAGTAAATTAGTCTCATAATATATACTTAAAATATATTACAAATGAAAAGATTCATTCTAAGAATTTGAAGATAATTTAAAACTAGAAAGTAAATAATTTTAATTTACATAAAATTATCTCAACAGATGTTGCAAAAATGTTTAATCTAATTTAACTCCTAATCAAGATAAATACCCAAACCAAGTTTAAATAGAAGCAACATTTAATAACTTGTATGTCTACTAAACAAATACAGAAGCATAGTTATTAGTGTAACATAGAGCTTTTCATTTAATCAAGATTAAGACAAAGATACTTGTTTATTGACAATTTCGTTAGGTCATTTAACTAATACACTTTGACAAAAATATTGTTACATAGAAATTTGGATGGAAATTTAAAGAAATTATATACTAATAGTAGTAATTCCACCTAGATAATTTAAAAATCAACAGGAAAACTTTTGAAATAACACAAATTTGATAAGCTTGCTGAGTACAATATCAATATATATGGGCTAAAATTACACCTATTCACCAGCACTGGTCCATTAAAATGTGGAATTAAAAAAATTCCCTTTCTTATTACAAATAAGAACTATATTTTGATTATGACTAAGTCTCAGAAAAGTGTTTCATGATGTTATATATTGTGAAATTACATAACTATAATACTTTAGTGAAGGATTTGAACTATATAGATATGCAAAAATTAATTTTCAAAGACATTGATTATGCTCAAATTAATTCACATATTCAATATAATTCTAACCAGAATCTTAAAGAAATTTATTTTCAAATTGACAAAACAGTCCTAAATTACACATGAATTAAGTATTCAAAAATAATTCAGACAATTCTTGAAAAAGAAAATTAAGGTAGGGGTATCCAGTAGATAGCAAGACTTATTTAAATTATTTATTTAGTGGCTCATACTTGTAATCCCAGCATGTTGGGAGGCTGAGATGGGAAGATCACTTGAGTTAAGGCATTCAAGACCCACTTGAGCAACACAGTGAGACCTTGTCTCTAAAAGCATCAAAAAAGTAGCTGGGTATAGTGGCAACTGTAGTCTTAGCTACACAGAGAATCAAACAGGAGGATTGTTTGAGCCCAGGAGGTCAAGGCTGAAGTGAGCCTTAATTGAGCCACTCCAGCCTGGGCTACAGAGCAAGACTCTGTCAGGAAAAAAAAAAAAAAGATTAAAAAAATTTTTTTAATATTTTTTGAGACAGAGCAAGACCGTGTCTCAAAAAAATTATTAAAAAAATCAAAACAATGAAGGTTGTGACACAGAAATAAAATGTATATAATAAGTAATAGGTCAGCAGATCAAACTAAAGACAGGTCTGGTGAGACCAGATTGTTTATTCTTATCACATAGGAACCTCCGTACGTGATAGATTTGGCATTAGAAATCAACAAAAAAAAAACGTAGACTGTTCAACTAATGATATTGAGACCTCTGTCATTTAATATTGGGACAAAATTGTATTTCTAACTCACAACAAACAGAAAAACTACATTAGATGTACTATCACTTTAGATTTGAAAACAATTCTTTAAAACTTTTACAAGAAAATCAAAATAAGACTCTACTGCCTTTAATTTGAGGAAGCACATGTCATTAAGGAAAAGACTGATGAGTTCACATTTGCTGATAAAAATAATATAATCTGTCCATCCTAAGTTAGGTGTCCAACAAATAGTTACATGTCTATCCTCTCACCTTTCATGTCCTCCAACACTTCTCTTTAAAGAGTGGCATAGAATAACATCATGAAAGAATGAGGAAACTCCAGTGCAACAAAAAAATTATAGAGTTTATAAATATCTTTTTTTGTTTACAAATATATTGTGTGAGATAGATTTTTCCATCTTAAATATGTGAAGAAAAATTAACCCTGCAATAATTAGTATTGTAACAACAATATTGCAATTTGAAATAAGACAAATGTGTAACATACTTCTTCTTCCAAAGTAAATAAGAGGATTAAATATAGAATTGAAAAAGTAAACAATCAAACAGAGAAAATACCAAGAATTGTTTTGTAATCTTGAAAGTTGGGAAGACATGTTTAAACATGATATTAAAGGCAGAGTACATTTAAAATGAATGCATTTAATAGCATGACTGGAAGAATTTCTGAATGCCTCAAGAAAATAAATATAGAAAGGTAAATAATAGATTAAAAACTTTAAAGTCTATTTGCAATATAAACAGTAGAAAAAAATTTAATACTTTTACTGTTTTATAAAAAAGATAAAAATAATTTTAAAAACCAGATTATCATATATAAAAAATTCAGCCTCACATTTAAACAAAAACGTAAGTTTAGTATAGTACTATGGTAAAATGAATAACAAGTGCTCTATTTTGCATTTCAAATTGGCCACATTTTGCTTTTGTAAATTGTTACATAGAATTATAATGTGTGCAAAGTTACGAGCAGTCTCGTTTAATGCTAGTGAGAGCTTACATTGGTGCATGCATTTTGTAGGGGACTTTGTCAATATTAATAAAAGTCTTAAATGTTTATATAGATTATAACCTGCTTTTTGGACTTCACCCATTTCTACGACTTCATCTTACAAATAATTGGAGATTTCACCACAGAGTTTTGTCTTAGTCCATTTTATGTTGCTATAAAAGAATACCTGAAGTTGGATAATTTATTTTTTTTTGCATTTTTGATCATGTGGATCTTTTAAAAATGTATTATTTATTTATTTATTAAGTTCTGGGGTACATGTGCAGGATATGCAGGTTTGTTACATAGGTTAATGTGTGCCATGGTGGTTTGCTGCACCTATCAACCTATCACCTAGATATTAAGCCCAGCATGCATCAACTCTTTTCTCTAATGCTCTCCCACCCCCGTCCTGCCCCAACATGCCCGCTAAGTGTTGTTCCCCTCCCTGTGTCCATGTGATCTCATTGTTCACCTCCCAATTATAAGCGAGAACACGTGGTGTTTGGTTTTCTGTTCCTGCATTAGTTTGCTGAGGATAATGGCTTCCAGCTTCATCCATGTCCCTGCAAAGGACATGATCTTGTTCCTTTTTAAGGCTGCATAATATTGAAGCTGGACAATCTATAAAGACCTAATGTTTCT
This sequence comes from Homo sapiens, assembly GCF_000001405.40. Classification (NCBI taxonomy): domain Eukaryota; kingdom Metazoa; phylum Chordata; class Mammalia; order Primates; family Hominidae; genus Homo; species Homo sapiens. Next base: position 116,697 of record NW_003571050.1, on the reverse strand, counting down.
GCAGGCTGGGAAGTTCCAAAAGCAGGCACTGATATCTGCTCAGCTTCTGGTGAGGGCTTTCCAGCTGTATCTTGACATGGCAGAAGGTCAAAGGGGAAATGGACATGTGTGAAGAGGCAAAACCTGAGGAGCCTTCTGACACTGTGACCACTCAGTCTTGCAGAAACATTTCCATGAACACGAATTCAGTCAGAAGAGAACAAGAACTGACTCAGTACTGCTGGTTTTGAGTTCATTCCTGCTACTGAATTCAGAAATGTCCTGCCAATGCCATTCTTCAACATCCTGTTAGTCTCCTAATTGGGGACTGTAATGTGTACATAAATTGAAGTTTAGGGTGAAGCAACAAGTGAAAACAGTGAAAGGAAAACTGTCCGTAACTGCATCTGAGAACACTAGACTTCACTGGGTATTCTTTTGAATATGGAAAGTTATCACCTGTGGCTCTTATAAAAAACTAAAATATTTGTTAGTATGAAAATTGCCAGCTGAATCATTTGAAAAATGATTGCTCTGATTTCATAAAGATCAATATGACATGATCCTACAGAAGAACTGATTTTAATGTAATTAACAACAAATTAACAATGAGCAATGGAATTAATGGACATAGCAAGAGAGAAGTACTGAAACAATAAATATTAAATATTTAATCCCTTAATTATTGTATTAATCCCTTAGTTGAAAATAAAAAAAATTATAAAATTAGGAATTTTTCTCTCTGAAGAGAAGCCAGGTATAGAGGAGGACATTTTCATGGTGGTATTAACTATGGAATTCATCACTGACTTAATTGGCAAGGAACAGGATATCTGCTTCAATGACCTCATTCTCACCAGCTTATCTCATACGTACAAATATATACATATCTGTATATATGAGTCTCACCCATGTATACATATATTTAAATGTATACATATATATGAGTCTCACTGTCACCCAGGCTGACTGGCAGTGGCATAAGCATGGCTCACTGCAGCCTGGGCCTTCCGGGCTCAAGCAATCCTTCCATCTCAGCCTTCTAAGTAGCTGGGACTACAGATGTGCACCACCATGCCCAGCTATTTTTTTTATTTTATTTTATTTTATTTTATTTTATCTTATTTTATAGAGAGGTGGTCTTTTTATGTTGTTCAGGCTGGTCTCAAACTCCTGGGCTCAAGATATCTTCCCATTTTGGCCTCCCAAAATGCTGGGATTAGAGGTGTGAGCCACTGTGCCCGGCTCAAATATATTTGTTGATGATAACACTAATCCATTTCTGTGGCACTTTTTTTCAGGTATTTATAGCACCAGTAAAATGGGGAGAATGATAGTTTGCTTGGGTTTCTGAATGGTCCTTTTGCATATTTGTTTACCACCTACCTCTATTTTTCACTGTCTTGGTGAGAGCCCATTCCTTCCACCAACTCTTTTCATAGCTAACATGACAGTTTATGTGGTTGTTACTGTTATTTTCTATGGTTCTCTATCTGTGGCAGGTCTCCCTTAAAGACAAGGAAATGTTCTGAGTTGGGGGAAGAATATAAGTCTCATTAAAAAAGATGTAATTTTAGAACTAGGAAAAAAAGTGTAATCTTCAAGAGATTCTCATATTGTCTGTGAGCTCCCATTTGTCTCATAATATGTTAAACTGCATCTCTGGAACAGGGTTTGATATGGTTTTTCTGTGTCCCCATCCAAATCTCATCTTGAATTGTGGCTCCCGAGTAATTCCCATGTGTCATGGGGAGGAACTCAGTGGGAGGCAACTGAATCGTGGGCGGGTCTTTCCCATGTTGTTCTTATGATAATGAATAAGTAATTCTCATGAGATCTGATGGTTTTATAAAGGGGAGTTGCCTTGCAAACTCTCTCTTGTCTGCTGCCACGTAAGATGTCCCTTTCCTCTTTCTTTGTCTTCCACCATGATTGTGAGGCCTCCTCAGCCATGTAGAACTGTGAGTTCATTAAACCTCTTTCCTTTATAAATTACTTAGTCTTGTGTATGTCTTTATTAGCAACATGAGAACAGACTAATACAGGGTTTTAGCTCAACATGTGTTAATAAGGTCAACTAAGGCACACTAAAGTTTTTTAAAAGTTTATTTGCAAATGATGGTTCATAAATTGGAAAGCTCCAAACTGAGGTGGTTCCGGAGCTCTACCGAGGGAACGCGATGGGGATGCTTTTATAGGACAGACAAAGAAGAAAAGCAAAGACAGGACAGATGAAATAAGGTAACTTTATAGCTAACCAATCAAATGTTTGGCTATCCTGTTGGCTGTCTTTGATTGGTTGAGTTTAAGTTCTGTTTTTCTTTACTATAGGCATTTATAAAAAATAGCTCAAGTTAATTTTTGCTTACTTTTGTAAATCAATCAGTTTTAAGGTCATATGAGACCTAACTGGCTTTGTCTGCCTAGGGATTCTTCAGACCTGGCCTCCATTTTAATATACTTTGACACGTGTGACCTAGTTTGGGTTGGCATTTCTTTCAGAAGCACAATTTTTTAAGAAACTCAATTTTTTAGTCTACTTAATTCCTGTCAGCTTCACATACAAGCAAACAAGTCACAGTTTTTGTCTAGTCTGCTGCTTCTTATATTTGCTGTGTTTTGTTGCTTTTTCACCCCTCTGCTTTTCTCTCTGGATTTAATATCAGATACTTTGAGCATTGTAAGGCTTCATTCAGGAAACCAGATATTTAATCACTCTGCCTTGATATTACCTTGTCAAACTGAAAGAGCAGTAACTGTCAGTTGAACCTTTTTCTGTAAATATAATCTAGTCAGAATTTTTAACATGGATGTAACAACCATACCCTTGAGATAATCCTAGTCTTAAGGCTGAGTTTTTTTGTTTGTTTGTTTTTTGTTTTTTTGAGACGGAGTCTCACTCTGTGGCCCAGGCTGGAGTGCAGTGGCATGATCTTGGCTCACTGCAAGCTCTGCCTCCTGGGTTCACACCATTCTCCTGCCTCAGCCTCCCAAGTAGCTGGGACTACAGGTGCCCGCCACCATGCCAGGCTAATTGTTTGTATTAATAGTAGAGATGGGGTTTCACCGTGTTAGCCAGGGTGGTCTCGATCTCCTGACCTTGTGATGCACCTGCCTTAGCCTCCCAAAGTGCTGGGATTACAGGCGTGAGCCACCGTGCCCAGCCATGGCTGAGTTTTAACCAGGCTTAGAAACTCAAATACTATTCAGTGTTGAGAAGCAGTTGCCTCTTCCAGCTCTGCAAAATCTCAAGTTTCTAGACTCTTCTTTCTGATATATTTTTTTCCTGCTTGCAAAGTAGTATAAAATTGTCAGAATCAAAATGAAGTCACTTGTGTTAAAACTCTGACAAATGGAGCTGGAGAAGGCCATGAGGGGAGAGTTCTTAATGTAAATACGACTTATAACAAGAGCTACCAGAAAAGACTCTACAAAACAACAACATTGCACAAAGGCCACTGCAACCCTACACAAAAAGATACTTCTGCAAGGACATCTGCTCAGAACCTCCTTGTCTAACCTTAGACAGGTGTCACCCTTGTTCCTGATCCTTGGATCCAAGGTTAATTATCTCAAAACAATTATGTAATCTTCCTCTTTTAGAAATCCTTGTCTTTTCTAATGTCCCTGAATACACACATAATTTACTATGGCACATGTATTCTCATTGCAATATTACTCCCAAATAAATATCATTTTCTTTTAGAGCATCTCCCTCTGTTTGCTATTTAGCTAGACAGTAGGCAATTATTTTCTAAAGTCAATTTTTTTAATTGTCAAATGAACCATTAATATATTCAATTATATTTTTTTTCTAGAGTTACAAAACTTTCAAATATGTGATTTACCTCCCACATAACCACAGGTGACTGCTATCGAATGTTTTGCCACTCCCTATCTTGTTTTACAGTAAACAGTAATGTTTTTTCTTGCCACTCACTGCCAATGAATCAAGTATTAAGCCAGTGTCACATAAGTTAGGTGTTTTGTTTTAGTAACATACCAGTTCAAGAGGCCAGTCTCATACTTGCCAAGATAGCTTAGTCTATGCTGTACTAACAAGATCCCCAAAGCTCAGGGACTCCACGTAGGAGAAGTTTTTGTTGTTTGTTTTTGTTTTTGATTTCTGTTACATGTCCTGTGCTCATAGTGGTCACAAAAGAATCCAGGCTGATAGATGGTTTATTGACCCTTGTTTGAGTGTCAAGGCAAGAAGATGAGAAATTTGCAGTCTTATAGTGGTGAGTAAATGCTCTCACTCTGAAGCAACATGTCATTTCCACAATATTTTATTGACCAAAAATTTACATAATATACAACTTCAAGGGGGAGAGGGGACTCCTACAAGACTACATTTCTTATCCTACAAGGAATAAAATGTTAGCATATAGCTCTAGGTCCCATTTTACGACCTCTATGCTATGTACAAGATATATATCTAAATCCTAATAACAAAGAGAAGTTAAAAGTAAAATTTAGAAAAATCACACCATAAAACACTAACAAAAATAAGCTAATGTAATCATTTTAATATATACTAAATAGATTTTTTTTTTTTGAGACGGAGTCTCGCTTTGTCACCCACACTGGAGTGCAGTGGTGTGATCTTGGCTCACTGCAAGCTCCACCTCCCAGGTTCCTGCCATTCTCTTGCCTCTGCCTCCCGAGTAGCTGGGACTACAGGTGCCTGCCACCATGCCCGGCTAATTTTTTGTAGTTTTAGTAGAGACTTGGTTTCACCATGTGTTAGCCATGCTGGTCTCGATCTCCTGACCTCATGATCCACCCGCCTCGGCCTCCCAAAGTGCTGGGATTTCAGGCGTGAGGCTAAATAGATTTTAAGGAAAAAGACATTAGAATAGATAATGTCACCTCATGTGAGTAGAGGTTATATTTGCCATGAAGATACTACAATTCTAACGCTCTATGCACTCATCAGCATGGCATCAAAATATGTAAAGTAAAAGTTGACAGGACTTCTAAAAGACATAGATAAACCTATACTCATAGCAGGATAGTTTAACATTAAATCTCAAGAAATAATAGAATAAAAAGACAAAACTCAGAAAAGGTAAATAGGATTTAAATAACATGATTACAAATAGATCTAGTGGATGTATGAAACACTGCACCCCAAAGCTACAGGATACACATTATTTTCAGCAAACACAAAACATTTATCAAAATTGACCATATATGCATAACATAAATTTTAGCAGAGAAAATTTTATGTAAATGGAAACTCGAACATATATTTTAAAAATAGTCTATGGTGGAAGAAAAATCACAATAAATTTAGAAAATATTTAAAATTAAGTATAATAAAATATAGTAAAACCTTGTGAGAAATGCTGAAAAATTCTAAGAGGAAAACGTATGCCAGGAATATAACAGCAAACATACTCAACGGAAGTAAAAATAATTAAATAACAATATAAGAGATGAAATTAATGAAAAATAATACATCTGAAAAGATCGACCAAGACAGACTTGAATAGACTAACAAAATAGGCAAACTTCTGGTAAGATAAATCATGAAAAGAAAAGCAAATAATATGAAGAATTTAAAGGATATATTCTGTTGGTATTAAAAATTTAATAAGATGATATTATAATCAAAATTACATGAAAACATAAATAATTGAAACTGACAAATATCTAGAAAGTCGTAACTGCCAAAACAAGACCAGAAGAAATAGGCAACGGAATGGTTCCAGATCAAGATCATAGAAATGTATGCTCATGTACTCAATAATAAGTTACATGTTAAAGAATGTTCGTAGCATCATCATCATCATAGTCTCCAAACTCAAAATAAACCAACTTTGTGTTTCCACTAGACTAGATAAATTTTGAATTGTCATTCCATTAATACTATACAGCAATTGAATAAATGATCTATCTCTATATGCAACATGATTAATTTTAGAAACATAATATTGATCAAAAATAGTTAAATTCAAAAATATTGTGTACAGTATTATTCCATTCATGTGCAATCCAAAACCAGGCAAAACCAAGCTAGTGCTTAGGGATACATATTCAAATTAAAATATACAAAGTTAAACAATAACGTGATTTGAATTGCAGATAGTTGTTACTTCTGGAATGAAGATAGGGGTTGTGATTAGAAAGGAGCAAATAAGGTGTTATGGGGTTTACAAAGTTCTCTTTCTTGCCATGGGAGGCTTTTAAATTAGTGTGCACTTTATACTATAGCATTTAAACTTCATTAAATGTTCTATATTTGTTATATGTAACAATAATAGGCAGCAAAAATGAAAAAGAGAAAAGAAATATTTCTAAACAAATGATATGAGGTTAGCTAAATCTTAATACCAAATTCTCATAGGCACAATATGAGAAATGAAAATTAAATGTCAATATTCCTTAAAAACATAGCTGCAAATATCCTAACACAACGTTGGCAAACTGCATCCATCAGTGACTTAAAAAATACTTTACATACTCAAACCTTTCATTGTTTCCTCTTCCTGCCCTTTGCCTCATTTTCCTTTTCAGTTCAGACTGCTGAAAAAGTTTTTCTGTGATGCTCCCTAGCATCTATTCTCTTTCTCTTATAGAAGTGAGAGACTACATCTCTTTGATTAAATTTATATTTTTAAATGTTTTCTCTTATGGAAACACACCAGGAAAATGCAGCTCAGAACCGCAAGCCTGTTATCCATTCTCTATGTCTTTGTCATGTGTTATATCACAAGTTCTAAAAACTGTGGTATTTTTTCATATACCAGCAAGTACAGTACCATTCCTCAGGCCTATTTGTACAGATTTGGGGTATTATCAAGTTGTGACCGGCATCCCCAAACCCTTTTCTCTAGATAGGTAGGAAGAACACCCTAAAATGAAAAAGTATAAAAGATCTCTTCAGCCCTGGGTCAAGAATGCAAATGGAAGACCACATGCCACATAGCTACATATTTAAAGGTCATAAATATACAAACCTAACAAACTGTTAAAGGAGACATTTTCTATTCTATCTTGACAAATATACCATTATAACAACAAAATAGAAAATATCTACCTATTTTAAGTTATAATTGAAACTTGCAAATCATTAAAGATGATGCAATTATTTTGTAAATTTTTTAGTACTCTGTAGATCACCCAATAAAGATTGCATGAGTAATAAAATACAAACATTCATAATTCACAAATTATATCTTTATTAAATAAAAATAGCTTTGTATTCATCTAGCTAAATGGCTACTTATTATCTTATAATCAAGATAAAGTGTTTTATTTATATTAATTTTGAATTAGACAATCTTTCTTGAGTCTCCACGTTTTCAGAATTTTGGTAATCCACTTTTTTTCGGTAGTTTTTGAAAGAGTGGGGCGGGGTGAGGAACCTTGACTCTTCACAATGAACACATTAGTCCCCGCTTATCTGCAGTTTCAGTGACCCAAGGTCAACCACAGTCCAAAAATAGGTGTGTACAGTACAGTAAGGTATCTTGAGAGAGTGAGAGACACCACACTATATATTTTAACACATTTTTTTACTTTTTATTTTTTTAATTTTTATTTATTTTAGATACAGGGTCTCCCTATGTTGCCCAGGCCGGTCTCAAACTTTTGGGCTCGAGCGGTCCTCCCGCCTCAATCTCCCAAATTGCTAGGATTACAGGGATGAGCCACAACCCCTGGCAACTTTTATTATAGTATATTGTTTTAATTGTTCTATTTTATTATTAGTTATTTTTGTAATCTTTTACTGTGCTTGATTTACAAATTAAACTTTATCATAGGTAGGTGAATACAGGAAAAAAATATATTGTATATAGAGTTTGGTACTATCTGCTGTTTTAGGCATCCACTGGGGGTCTTGGGACATAGGCCTCATGGATAAGGGGAACTAGTGTATCTATTTCTTTGCTTGGTTTTCAGTTTTGCAAGTTATGATGTAATATAGTACTGCTTTCTTTGGTAGCTGTTGCTGATTTTGTAAAATTTGTTTTTTTATCACTTTTAAGTTTAAAAAAGAAATATGAGGGGAAAAGCGGATAAAATGTGAAGGCATTTGGTGCCTATGGAGGGATGGTGGTGAGCACTGCTAAGTAGTGATGAGGCAGGGAATGAGAAAGATGGATGCTTTGTAAACGAGTTTCTCTTTAGTCACAGTATTGACCAGATCCAGCTTTAGCTCCACAAGAAATTGAGCACTCTTTTGAAATAGCATAGGTAAGTCTTTGCATATTTTATAAAGCTTCATTGGCTATGCTATTAGCCATAAAAGCTTCATTTAGCTACATATTCTATGAATCAGATTTTTATAATATTTGTACCTCAGAACTCAAGCTGGTTGAATCTAATTTTCTATGCTCAGACAAGGCAAAAAAGTACAAAACAATGAAAGAGAATATATCTTTATTTGCATGGTTGCAAATGTGAGTTTAACTTTGCTGCATAATCATCTATGAAATATTTCTGCCCATGGTGAAGACATAAATATCTTAGCTAGGGCTCAGCAGAGAAATTGAAGAAAAATAAAGATATCACCAGAACAGTTATGTGAAGATCGATCAGCAAACTTTAGAGATTTCTGCTTTGACGTTGAGCCAACAATGAAAGAAGGAGCAGAAAAAGGAGAAGGAAGAAGAACTCCACTGGACACTCAAGGATGTGAATAGCATTTTAGATCAGTGAATAACCAGCAGTGACATTAGACATTGAACTTTCTCTGTTCTGACATGGAAAGTGCCCTGCCGAGTATCTTCACTCTTGTAATAATTGCAGAATTCATAATTGGGAATTTGAGCAATGGATTTATAGTACTGATCAACTGCATTGACTGGGTCAGTAAAAGAGAGCTGTCCTCAGTCGATAAACTCCTCATTATCTTGGCAATCTCCAGAATTGGGCTGATCTGGGAAATATTAGTAAGTTGGTTTTTAGCTCTGCATTATCTAGCCATATTTGTGTCTGGAACAGGATTAAGAATTATGATTTTTAGCTGGATAGTTTCTAATCACTTCAATCTCTGGCTTGCTACAATCTTCAGCATCTTTTATTTGCTCAAAATAGCGAGTTTCTCTAGCCCTGCTTTTCTCTATTTGAAGTGGAGAGTAAACAAAGTGATTCTGATGATACTGCTAGGAACCTTGGTCTTCTTATTTTTAAATCTGATACAAATAAACATGCATATAAAAGACTGGCTGGACCGATATGAAAGAAACACAACTTGGAATTTCAGTATGAGTGACTTTGAAACATTTTCAGTGTCGGTCAAATTCACTATGACTATGTTCAGTCTAACACCATTTACTGTGGCCTTCATCTCTTTTCTCCTGTTAATTTTCTCCCTGCAGAAACATCTCCAGAAAATGCAACTCAATTACAAAGGACACAGAGACCCCAGGACCAAGGTCCATACAAATGCCTTGAAAATTGTGATCTCATTCCTTTTATTCTATGCTAGTTTCTTTCTATGTGTTCTCATATCATGGATTTCTGAGCTGTATCAGAACACAGTGATCTACATGCTTTGTGAGACGATTGGAGTCTTCTCTCCTTCAAGCCACTCCTTTCTTCTGATTCTAGGAAACGCTAAGTTAAGACAGGCCTTTCTTTTGGTGGCAGCTAAGGTATGGGCTAAACGATGAGAAACTCACAATTTCATAAGCCATTCAGACCACAGATTATTGAATATTGCAGACAGAAACAGGAGTCTACAAGGAGTTTAAAAGATATTTTATGCTTCCCCTGGTTTCTTTTATTGTGAAGGTCACTGTAAATGTTTTAAATTCTTCTCTATAATAGCATCTTACCTAAGAATATTATGTATTTATGACATGTATTTCTACATTATTAGGAATTTGAAACTTATTTGAGGAAATTATTGGCAGATTCTATTGTAAATTAAAAACATATACTACAGCATACTTAGATGTTAATTGTAAATCTACAATCTTTTGTTTGGCAATGGCTCTTCAATTCTAAATCATTCATTGAGATGGGTGATTTAGGTAATTATTTTATTATCTCAAGTACTCCTATTTAAATGGTGAGCTACAGATAATTAGAACAGTTATTTGGAATAGAATTAGGGAAGTTTGGACTTGCCACTATTACTATACTGATGTGTTGAGAGAATTGAGAGGGTTAAAAAGTTTAATATGAGTAACTGCCACATAAAAAGATAACGGTTTTTTAGTAATTATATTGTATGTATGTGTACATACATATTTTACATTATGCCTTTTAAAGTAAATATTATTGAGGTATAATTTACATATAATAAAATGCAACATGTTAGTCCACATTTCAGTTAGAGTTTTGACAATGTATACACTTGTGTGACCACAATGTCAGTGCCCTTTGCAGTTTACCCTCTCCCCTCCAGCCCTTTTTCCCAAGCAACTACTTATCTGCTTTTGGTAACAATAAGAGAGTTTTTGATTTCTAGAATTTTATGCATCTATATATCTATAGATATAGATATATAGATGCCATATATACACACACACACACACACATACAGTTATAGAGTGTGTATTGTTATATGTGAGGCTTCTTTAACTCAGCATAATGTTTTTGAAGTTCTTCTGTTTTGTTGTATTAATCAGTAGTTTGTTCCTGAGCAGTGTTCCTGAGTAGTGTTGGATATACCACATTAAAAAATTTCTCTTTCCTGTTAATGAACATTCAAATGGTTTTCAATTATTGGCCATTATAAATAAAACTGATATCAACATTCATGTATTTCTCTTCTTCTGGATATACAATTTCCTCACTCTTGAGTAAATACCTATGAGTAAAAATGTCAAATCATATGATAAGTGTATGTTTAACTTAAGAAAAAACTGCCAGAGTTCTATAGAGTGGTTGCACCATTTCATACTATTGCCAGCAATATACGAGTGTTTCAGTTATTTCACATTCTGGCCAACAGTTGGTAGGTACTCTGTTTTGTTTTCTATTTTGGCCATTCTAGTCAGAATGTAATGGCATCTCATCATAGTTTTAATTCACATTTTCCTAATGGCTAGTGAGGCTGATGATTTTTTCATATGCTTTGGGTCATTCATACAACCTCTTTTTATGAAATGTTTGTTTAAACCTTTTGCCAACTACTTAGCTTGATTCATTGCTTTCTGTTTTTATTACTGAGTTGTAAATGTTCTTTATATAGTCTCTGTATTAGTCCATTTTCATGCTGCTGATAAAGACATACTCAAGACTGGGTAACTTATAAAGAAAAAGAGGTTTAATTGACTGACAGTTCCACATGGCTGGAAAGGCCTCACAATAATGGCAGAGACAAAAGTCACGTCTTACATGGTGGCAGTGAAGAGAGAATGACAGCCAAGCGAAAGGGGAAACCCCTTATAAAAACATCAAGTTTCATGAGACTTATTCACTACCATGAGAACAGTATGGGGGAAACCACCCCCATCATTCAATTATCTCCCACTGAGTCCCTCCCATAACACATGGGAATTATGGGAGCTACAATTCAAGATGAGATTTGGGTGGGGACACAGCCAGACCATATCATTCTGAATATAAGTTCTTTATCAGACATATGTTTTATAAATATTTTCTGCCAGCCAGAGGCTTGTCATTTCATTTTCTTTACAGTGTCTTTCAAAGAGAGGACATTAAAAACTTTTAATGAAGTTCAATAATCAACTATTTTCCTGTAAGAAAATTATTTTTAACTTTTTTTGCTTTCAAAACTCAAAGATATTTTATGGAACAGTTGGAATAAATATTTGCAATAAGGCACAGTTATCCTTGAGTATAAGGACAGAAAGCCTAATTTCATTTTCTCTGCTGTCAGAACAGGTTCTTTGGTGATACCACATGCATTTTTAGTAACCTGTTTCAATAGTACTATCTACTTGAGCATTCTCATTTTCTCTCTTTTATTTTCTTTTTAGAAAGGACCTCCCAAATGGGTTTGCTTAAAAGTTAGGTAAGTGAGAGGAGTAGTATGATCATTTTTATCATTAATTTCTCTGAACTCTCTTGTAGTTTATTTACCCAATAGCATCTTTCAATATCTGTCAGTATTTTCACCTCTGCACTCATATGGTCCCCACAAAAAACACTATAATAGTTAAGGACTGAGTCTGGAGTCAGAGGTACAATTCTCAATTCTATCACTTAGTAGTGTTAGTTAAAATTGTATAGTTCCTATTTATAAGTGAAACATGCAGTATTTGGTTTTCTGTTTCTGCATTAATTCACTCAGGACAATGGCCTTTAGCTGCATCCGTGCTGCTGCAAAGGACATGATTTCATTTTTTTTTAATGGCTACATAGTATTCTATGGTCTATATATACCACACTTTTTTGGTCTAATCCATTTTTTTTTCTTTGAGACAGAATCTTACTCTGTTTCTCAGGCTGAAGTGCAGTGACATGATCTCAGCTCACTGCTGCCTCCACCTCCCAGGTTCAAGCGATTCTTCTGCCTCAGCCTCCCAAGTAGCTGGGATTACAGGCAGGTGCCAGGACGCCCGGCTAATTTTTGTATTTTTAGTAGAGACAGAGTTTCACCATGTTGGCCAGGCTGGTCTTGAACTGCTGACCACAGGTATCTGCCCACCTTGACCTCCCAAAGTGCTGGGATTACAGGCATGAGCCACTGTGCCTGGCCTGTAATCCATTGTTGATGGGCACGTAGGTTGATTCCCATGCCTTTGCTATTGTGAATAGTGTTCCAATGAAATTGTGAGAGTACATGTGTCTTTCTGGTAGAATGATTTATTTTCTTGTGAACAGAGTGAGAGGACAACAGAGTGAAACTCTGTCTCAAAAAAAAAAAAATGGATTAGACCAAAAAAGTGTGGCGTGCATACACCATACTGAGTAATGGGATGACTAGGTTGAATGGTAGTTTATTTTAAGTTCTTTGAGAAATCTCCAAACTGCTTTCTACAGTGGCTGACGTAATTTGCATGCCCACCAACAGGGTACAAGCGTTCCCATTGCTCCACAGCTTCACTAGCATCTGTTTTTTTTTTTTTAACTTTTTGATAGTAGCTATTCTGACTGGTGTGAGATGGTATCTCTTTGTGGTTTTGATTTGCGTGTCTCTAATGATTAGTGATGTTGAGCCTTTTAAAATATTTGTTGGCTGCTCGTATGTCTTCTTTTGAAAAGTGCCTGTTCATGTCTTTTGCTCGTTTTTAAAGGGGTTATTTGTTTTCTGCTTGTTCAATTGTTTCCATTCCTTATAGATTTGGGATATTAGACCCTTGTTGCATGCATAGTTTGCAAATCTTACATTCTATAGGTTGTCTGTTTACTCTGTTGATAGTTTATACAATGTGTGCAGAAATTCTTTAGTTTAATTAGGTCCCACTTGTCAATTTTTGTTTTTTGTTGCAATTGCTTTTGGGGACTTAGTCATAAATTCTTTCCCAAGGCCAATGTTTAGAATGGTGTTTCCTAAGTTTTCTTCCAGGATTATTGTAGTATAAAGTCTTACATTTAAATTTTTGACCCATCCTGAGTTAATTTTTGTATATGGTGAAAGGTAAAGGTTCAGTTTAATTATTTTGCTTATGGCTAGCCAGATATCCCAGCACCATTTACTGAATACAGAGTCCTTTCCCCATTGTTTATTTTTGTCAGTTTTGTCAAACATCAGATGGCTGTAGTTGTGTGTCTTTATTTCTGGGTTCTCTATTCTGTTCCATTGGTCTATGTGTCTGTTTTTATAATATTACCATGCTGTTTTGGTTACTGTAGCTTTATAGTATAGTTTGAAGTCAGGTAATGTGATTCCTCTGGCTTTTTTCTTTTTGCTTAGGGTTGCTTTTGCTATTTGGGCTCTTTTTTTGGTTTTATATGAATTTTAAAATAGTTTTTTTTTTCTAGTTCTGTGCAAAATGACATTGGTAGCTTGATAGGAATAGAGTTGAATCTGTAAATTGCTTTGGGCCGTACAACCATTTTAACAATATTCATTCTTCCTATCCATGAGCATGGAATACTTTTCCATTTGTTTGTGTCATCTATGATTTCTTTCAGCAGTGTTTCACAGTTCTCTTTCACCTCCTTGGTTAGCTGTAGTCCTAGTTGTTTTTTTTTTTTTTTTTTTTTTTGAGGCTATTGTAAATGGGATTGCATTCTTGATTTGGCTCTCAGCTTGAAGATTTTTATTGTATAGAAATGCTACTGATTTTTGTGAATTGATTTGTATCCTGAAACTTTACAGAAGTCCTTTATCTGTGCCAGGAGCCTTTTGGCAGAGTCTTTAGGGTTTTGTATGTATGGATTCACATCAGCAAAGAGATATAGTTTGACTATGGCTTTTATTTTTCTATTTGGATGCCTTTTTTTTTCTTGCCTGATTGTCCTGGCTAGGACTTTCAATACTATGTTGAATAGGAGTGATGGGAGTGGGGACCCTTTTCTTGTTCCAGTTCTCAAGGGGAATGCTTTCAGTTTTTGCATGTTCAGTGTAATGTTAGCTGTAGTTTTGTCATAGATGGCTCTTATTATTTTGAGGTATGTTCCTTCAATGCCTAATTATTTGAGCGTTTTTTCAAGAGTCCAGAATTTCCTTGTTAGTTTTCTGCCTCAATGATCTGTCCAATCTTCTCAGTGGGGTGTTGAAGTCCCCCAATATTATTGAGTGGGTATCTAAATCTTTTTATAGGTTTGGAGGTACTTGTTTCATGAATCTTGGTGCTCCAATGCTGAGTGCATGTATATTTGGGGCAGTTAAGTCTTCTTGTTGAATTGAACACTTTATTATTATGTAGTGCCTTTCTGTGTCATTTTTTTACTGTTGTTGGTTTAAAATCTGTTTTATCTTATATAGGAATAGTGATTCTTTCTTTTTTTCTTTTCTATTTGTGTTACAGATCCTTCTACAACCCTTTACTTTGAGCCTAACAGTAACATTACATGTGAGATGGGTCTCTTGAAGACAGCAGACCGATGACTTTTGTTTTTTATTGAATTTGTCACTCTGTGACTTTTAAGTGAGGGTATTTAGACCATTTACATTCAAGGCTAATATTGCTATGTGAGGTTTTGATTCTATTTTGAAGTTGTTAGCTGGGTGCTTTGTAGTTTCTATTGTGTGGTTTCTTTATAGGGTCTTGGGCTATGTGCTTAGGTGTGCTATTTTGGTAGCAGATTTTCATGTTTAGAACTCCCTTAAGGATCTCTTGTAAGACTGGTCCAGTGGTAATAAATTCCTTTACCCTTTGCTTGTCTATAAAAGATTTTATTTCTCCTTCAGTTATAAAGGTTAGTTTGATGGAATATACAATTATTGGTTGGAAAATTTTCTTTCCTTTAAGAATGCTGAAAGTAGGCCTCCAATCTCTCCTGGCTTGTAAGGTTTCTGCTGAGCTATATACTTGGCCTTATGGGGTTCCCTTTGTATGTGATCTGATCTTTTTCTCTAGCTGCCTTTAAGATTTTTTTCTTTAGTGTAGACCTTGGATAGTCTGGCGACTATATGCTTTGGTGATGTTCATTTCCTATAGCATCAGTCAGGTGTCCTCTTGATTTCTTGTATCTGTATGTCTACCTCTCTAGCAAGATTAGGGAAATTTTCTTAAATTATTTCCTCAAATATGTTTTCCAGGTTATTAACTATTTCTCCTTCTTTCTCAGGAATGCCAGCAGTTTATGAGTTTGGTTGCTTCACATAATCCCATATTGCTCTAAGACTGTATTCATATTTTTAAATTATTTTTAATTTTTTTTTCTGGGTTAGTTCAAAAGACCAGTTTTCAAGGTCTGAAACTCTTCTGCTTGGTCCAGTCTATGAGAGATTGTACTTTATATGAATTCAATTGTACTTTATAATTCCTTAAGTAAGTTTCTCAATTCCAGAAGCTCTGATTGATTTCTTTGTAAGATGTTTATGTCTTCCTTCATTTCCTGGATTGCTTTAGAAATCTCTCTGTATTCATTTTCAGCCTTGTCTTGCATCTCATTGAGCTTCCTTGCAATCTATACTTTGAATTTTTTATCTGTCATATCTGAGCTTTTGTTTTGGTTAGGGACCATTGCTGGAGAGGTACTGTGCTCCTTTGATGGTGTTGATTTCATTACATTCACTTTTTTTATGGTGGTAGAATTCTTGTTCTCTTTCCTCCTCCTCTGGCAATACTGGCACTTCTAATTTTTGTAATTATTTCCATAAGGTAGGATTTTTTTCTTTATTTCCCTATAATATTATTGTTCTTTTTTCTTTCCCTTTCCATTCCCCCTCCCTCCTTAGGAGGTATGACTTTAGAGAATTCTGGGTAGGTCTTTTGCCCAGCTTCTATAGCCTTATGCACTTACAGGTTGCAGGTTTTATATTAGACTGTGCGGTTCAACCTACAAGCCAGTAGATGGCACTTATAGGTAAGAGCCAGTTTTGGACAATGTGATGGTTATATATTTGATCCTTGTTTACTGGAAGAAACTCTCTGTTGCTGCAGATAATGGTCTGACTCATGGAGTACACAGTGGTGTGAACTCCCTGCTCAGCCTTGGGGGTTGTGGGGAGCAAGGTGGGTGGGGCCAGACAAGGCAGGTCCACCTATAGGTCTTCCAATGGCAGACACAAGCACCAACACTGAGGGAGAATCTACTGAGTGGCTACCAAGTGACCAGAGTTCTGTCTAGGGGTGGAGCTAGGTAACCCCCTCGGCTCCAAGTTCTTTGCACAGGGATATTGGAGAGATTGGCCTAAACTCTTAATCCAGGAGAGTGGGGGCTCTGAATACCTGGAAATCTGCCTGCTTGTGGAGCAGAACCCACCCCCACCAACCAAGATTTCTGCACAGGGTAAATGGGGTGACTCAGGCTTCTTAACTAGGCAGGCAGGTGCTCTTAATGCTTGGATATTTGCCTGGGCATAAAACAGAGAGGATCAGCCCAGTACATGGATCTGTGAACGGGAAGGGTGAGGCAGCACAGGTTGCCAGTCTGTGTGAGCAGGTGCTTTGAATGCTAGGGTATGCAGCAGAGAGGACCTCCCTGCATCAAAATCTCTGCACAGGAAGGGTAGGGGAGGATAGGCTGCTGAGCCAGGTGAATGGGTGCTTCAGATATCTAGAGTTCTGCCTGGCTGTGGAGCAGAGAGGGCCCCATTGCACCATGACCTACGTCAAGGAAGGTTAGGTGGTTCAGGGTGCTGAACCTTGCTAGCAGGTGCTCCAAAATCCTGGGATCTGCCTAGGCATGAAGCAGAGAGGGCCTCCCTATTCTAGGATCTCTGCACAAGAAGGGTGGAGCAGATGAAGCTGCTGAACCAGGTGAATGAGTGATCCAAATGCCCAGATTTCTGCCTAGAGGTAGAGTGGAGGAGAGTCTGCTGCACCACAATCACAGGGGAACAGGGTGGGGTACCCAGCAATGACACACACAGACTAGTTCCAAGTAGCTAAGCTGCCTGGTTGCAAGTCTCATCACATAGGATAAACTGGCTGTAGCAGCTCCCCTCCTGCCCCAGGCCTGTGATGGGGGATAGCACAGTTTCAGTGTTTGCTGCTAAGGTTTTTTTTCCCCACAATTCTGGCCATGGAGGTCCCCACCCTGCTCTAAAGCAGGTGCTCCAATATCTGGCCCAAGACTAAAATGCCTGCACAGCTACGCTGCTTAGTTACCAAAGAATGATTGACTTTGTGGCATCTGAATTAAAAATGGTATCCTGCTCTCAGTCCTGGGTCTGAGAAAAGGCCTGAACCTTTTCCCAGTGTCTTTCCCTTACAATGTCTCTAAGCCTTTCTCCAAGTTATCTCCAGGGCTTTGGAGAAACAAGGTACTCTTCCCTCTGAGCACTGGGTTGCTCAGATCCCCAGTGGAAAGGTGAGTCACAGAGGGAGGCTCTCTGCCTCTCTCACCTACTGGAGCTTCATTCACTTTTTTAACTGGGTGCCATCATGGGGGCTGTTTGCCCATGTTCCCCTCCCTGGGATCTGTGTGTCCTTATGATTCTGGTAGATTCCCACTTTCCTTCTTGAAATAAAGCTCACAGAGTTAACCTTTATGAGACTTTGTTGAAAAATTTATGTAGGTTGGTATTTTTTTCTTCTTAAATATGTGATGAAAATAAACATTCAGGTCATCCCTTGCTTTGTGTGAAAGTTTTAAATTAAGAATTCAATTTTTAAAAATAGACACTAAGATTTTCTATTTCTTTGTGTGCCTGATTCAGTAATTTCTTTCAGGGAATTTGTCCATTTTATCTAATTTAATTCACTGAAATAATTTTATAAATATTATTCCTCAATTTCTTGGTCTGTTTGTGTTGGTATAAAGGAATACCTGAAGCTGAGTAATTTATAAATAAAAGAGGTTTATTTAGTTCATGGTTCCGCAGGCTGTACAAGAAGCATGGCATTAGCATCTGCTTAGTTTCTGCTGAGAGCTTTTGTGCTGGGTCAAACCATGGTGGAGAAGGTCAAAGCAGAAGCGGGCACATGTGAAGAGAGAATAAACCAAAGGGGCATCCTGGCTTTATAACAATTCACTCTCATGAAAAACAACTCATTCCCCTAGAACAAATTCAGTCTTGTGAGAGTGAGAACTCACTCACTACATTGAAAATGGTACCAAGGCATTCATGAGGGAACCAACCCTATGACTCAAACACTTCTCACTAAGCTCAACCTCCCAACACCACTACTTTGGGGATCAAATCCCAATATGAGTTCTGATGGGGACAAACAAACCGTGTACAAACCATAGCATTCTGACTTGGTCCCCTGAAAACTCGTGTCCTTCTCACATAAAAAAAAATGTAATCTTTCCATCCCAACAATAGTCCCCCAATTCTTAACACGTTGCTGCATCAATTCAAATGTCTGAAGTCCAAAGTCTCATTTGAGACTGGAAGTCAAGTTCCTTCCAGCTATGAGCCTGTGAAATAAAAAACAATTTATTTCCTTCCAAGATACAGTTGTTGTACAGGCATTGGATAGACATTCTCATTCCAAAAGGGAGAAATCAGCCACAAGAGAGGAGCAGTAGGCACCACGCAAGTACAAAACACAGCAGGGCAGGCGTTAAATATTAACGTTCTAAAATAATCTCTTTTGACTGTATGTGCTGCCTTCTGGGCACATGCCTCTTCTTTCTGAGACTTCACTCTTAGTGGTCTCACTCTCTCATCTCCGCAACAGTCACACTGCTTTCCTTGTTCTTCCTCAGACACACTAGGTACATCCAATGTTAGCACACTGATAATGCTGTTCCGTGTGTCTGGAATGTACTTTACCCAGACAAAACATGGATAATTTCTTTACCTACTTTAGGTCTTTGTTCAGACATCACCTTCTCAATGAGTCCTTCCCTAAGCACCTTATTTAAAATTTCAACCCCTCTTCTGACATGCTTTCTATTGACCCTCTCTACTTATATTTGCAACTTCTTATAAACTATATTTTATATCTGTATGATATATATTTTATTAGTTATATGTTTAGAGTTCATCTTTTCAGAATGTCAACTTATTAAGGGCATTTAAAAATAGTTGTATTTAATGCTTCATCCCACCTCCTAGAGGGCTGGAACAAAGAAGATATTCAATAAGACAAATAAAATAACCCTTTTTCAGCATATAATATTTTCCTGAATTTCCCTTTGTTTATTTCAGTTTCAGTTTTGTTTGCATTTCATGTTTGCCTATCACAATTAGCCTTTCTTTTAGTCATGGAGTTTTCTTTGTGAATTTACCTAGGGTGTATCTTTTGGTGGGCTGTCCAACTCATTCATTTCTTTGACTCCTCTTAGGCCTATATTATATCTCCATTGGTTTTGAATGTCACTAAATTTTGGACTAGCTACTTTGGGAGGGAAATGCAGCAGTTGCATTACACAAAGAACATGACTAATTGGCCTTTCCTGGTTTGACCTCATCAGAATTAAGATTAAGTTCAGCTCAACGTATGAAAAAATTATAGAAAATTTATACAAGTTCCCCTTACACTGAGGAAAATAAAGATGCTATGGATACCTTTATTTGGGATAGAAGAGAAAAACAGACATGGAAATTAGAAATGACAAAATATTGATACCATTCATATGCTAAATAATTCTATTCTGATGCTCTATTGCTGCATAATAAAATCACCCAGAAACTTCATGGTGTAAAATAACAGCCATTTTATTGTGCTTGTTGATATGGTTTGAATTTCTGTCCTCGCCCAAATCTCATATTGAATTGTAACCCCTAATGTTGGAGGTGGGGCCTGGTGGGAGGTGATTGGATTATGGGGGGCAGTTTCCCCCTTGGTGGTGGTGTGGCAATAGTGAGTGAGTGAGTTATCACAAGATTTGGTTGTTTGAAAGTGTAAGGCACCTCCCCCATCTTTCTCTTCCTCCTGCTCCAACCATGTGAAGATGTATCTGATTTCCCCATTGCCTTCCGCCATCTTTATACATTTCCTGAGGCCTCCCCAGAAACAGATGCCGCCATGCTTCCTGTACAGCCTGTGAAGCCATGAGCCAATTAAACCTCTTACAGAAACCCAGTTTCAGGTGTTTCTTTATAGCAATGCAAGAATAGACTAATTCACTTAAAGATTCTGTAGGTTAGGGTTTTGTTCAAGACATAGCAGGGATGGCTTCTTTTTGTTCCAGAATGTCTAAGCCTTTAGCCAGAAAGTTATGAACAACTGGGGGCAATTCAAGTGACCAGGGGCTGAACTTATCTAAGGCGGAGCTGAGAAATACATAGAAATGTCAATGATAGGCAATGATAGAAATATCCCCTATGTATGTTGGCTATAAAATAGTCACACGTGGCTAGTGAGCATTTGAAATATGGTTAGTAATACTGAGGCTCTGTACTTTTAATCTTATTTAATTTTTATTAATGTGAATTTAAAAAGCCACGTGTGACATGTGGCTAGTATCTACCGTATCAGACAGGTCAAATATCGCTTTCTTGGCTCATAGGTTTAGTACCTGGGGTAAAAGGACGTAAAAGCTGGGCTCACGTGGGATAATGAGCCAGAGGGCCTGCACATGGCCTCTGCATGTGGGTTTGGACATTGTGACCTCAGAGTAGTTGGACTACTTACATGTGGCTTAGGACTCCAAGAGTAAATATTGCAGTGATTAAGAAAAAACTGCATGGCTTTTCATGATTTAGCTTTAGAATTATTATAGCATTTTTATTAGTTGAATTAGTCACAAACCATTCTAGATTTAAGGACAGAGTACACAGACTCCTAAGATATCAATAGAAGAAGTGCCAAAGTATGTATCGTATGTTTTAAAACTTGCATACTCTCTCTCTCTTTTTTTTTTTTTTTTGAGACGGATCTCACTCTGTCACCCAGGCTGGAGTGCAGTAGTGTGATCTCGGCTCACTGCAACATCTGCCTCCTGGGTTCAAGCGATTCTCCTGCCTCAGCCTCCCGAGTAACTGGGATTACAGGAGCATGCCACCAAGCCCAGCTAATTTTTGTATTTTTAGTAGAGACAGGGTTTCACCATGTTGGCCAGGCTGGTCTCGAACTCCTGACCTCAGGTGATCCACCTGCCTTGGCCTTCCAAAGTGCTGGGATTACAGGCGTGAGCCACCGTGCCTGGCCAAAAACTTCCATACTCTCTAAAAGATTTGGTATTATATCAGAGAGCAGTTTTCTCCATTTTCTTAAACTTTGCATATTTTATAAATAATCTGCATTAGTGAGGTTGATAATGAAGAAATATGCTGATCATAAACTCTAAATATATACTGCATTTTTCTATATGGGGGCTTAGAATTTCTAGCCCAGGGTGGTAGATGAATCAAAGGGATACATCATACAAATGAATAACCTTTAAGCAAAAGATGGCATTGTAAAACTATAAAGGAGAATCTACTTCAATTTTGCATGTTAACAAATGAGGGTTCAAATTTGAATGCAGAACTTTCCATGTAAAATACAACCAGAGTCAATAGTAGCAGGGAATATAATATTTGCCTTGAAAATCACTAGCTGATACCCTCAAGGGAAAAAAACTTGTATATTTTACAATTTAGTTGAAATCTAATTTTAGAACACACCTTGGATCTCTCCAGACTACACCAATGGCCATCAATAAAACAGAAAGAAGTCACTCCTTTGGATATATAAATCTATAACAGTGCAGCTAGGATCAATCAGCCAATGGTGTATTGAAGGCAGAGATTCACTATGTAGAGGCATGTCAAGCATTTGGGAGACACTGTTTATAAGAATTCTTGTAGTGTAATTCATAATGGGGACTGTGGGAAATTGATTCATTGTATTGGTTAATATCATTGACTGAATCAGGAACTGAAAGGTCTCCCTGATTGATTTTATTCTCAACTGCTTGGCCATCTCCAGGATATGTTTCCTGTAGATAACAATTTTAGCTACCTCTTTCAATATAGGCTATGAGAAAATGCCTGATTCTAAGAATCTTGCAGTAAGTTTTGACATTCTCTGGACAGGATCCAGCTATTTCTGCCTGTCCTGTACCACTTGCCTCAGTGTCTTCTATTTCCTCAAGGTAGCCAACTTCTCCAATCCCATTTTCCTCTGGATGAAATGGAAAATTCACAAGGTGCTTCTCTTTATTGTACTAGAGGCAACGATCTCTTTCTGCACAACTTCCATTCTGAAGGAAATAATAATTAATAGTTTAATCTAAGAACGGGTAACAATAAAAGGCAACTTGACATTTAATTATATGGATACCATGCATGATTTCACTTCTCTGTTTCTCCTTCAGATGATGTTCATCCTTCCTTTTGTGGAAACACTGGCTTCCATTCTTCTCTTAATCCTCTCCTTATGGAGCCACACCAGGCAGATGAAGCTACATGGTATTTATTCCAGGGATCCCAGCACAGAAGCCCATGTAAAACCTATAAAAGCTATAATTTCATTTCTACTCCTCTTTATTGTGCATTATTTCATCAGTATCATACTAACATTGGCCTGTCCTCTTCTAGACTTCGTTGCGGCAAGGACTTTTAGTAGTGTGCTGGTATTTTTCCATCCATCTGGCCATTCATTTCTTCTAATTTTACGGGACAGCAAACTGAAGCAAGCTTCTCTCTGTGTCCTGAAGAAGATGAAGTATGCCAAAAAGGACATAATCTCTCATTTTTATAAACATGCCTGATATGAGTGATGATATTCTCAGAAAGAAAAAAAGGAAGAAGAACAGGAGGGCTACACATTTGTTTCTTTCACCTACCTCTTATTTTCTCATTATGTTCTATGATATATTGAGCATTATTGAAAATACTTGCTGATTTAAATTAAGCAGAACAGATTGCTACCTTGTTTGCACCATATATGGAGATTATGTATTTAATAGTAAAATTCTAATATATTGAAAATGCATTTTTCATTAGGCACTGTGATCAATATAATAGATTACTCTATCTTTAAATTTTATTAATATGTTGCATAAGCATTAGAATAGAATAGAAATACATCAAGAATTATAATATCTATGTATGTGTATAGAGTGTATATAAAATCAGATTTATATGTACAAACACATAGGGATTTAGTTCCTATCCTAAAAATGATGATCAATTGATAATTTAAAACTAGAAAGGAAAACTCAAATGAAAATAGTTAGTAGAGTCTACAGCTTAGTGAAAACTTTGAGGATATGAAACAAAGTCAATTGAAATGTACATCACTAAGAGTTATTTCCAAATATAAGCCCTATTCTGTTAATATTTTCAGTCATTTTCAGTTAAAAACACTAAGCAACTTTGACCATCAAAAATGTTACAATCTTGACCATCTACAACAGACTTGTACTGTAGAATCTGAATCTTTGGACTAACAATAAAATTTTACTCAATTGGTTAACTGTGTAAGGAAGGCAAGGACACGTATTAAAAAATCAGTAAGATTTTAAGTAAGCAAAATTGGAGGACTGCTGCTGGCATCTAGTGTAGAGTTACCAGGTTTAGTAAATAAAAATATAGAAGACCAAGACGATAGTAACAAATACAGGATCTCATTTGATGAAAGTCACTGTGTAAAGAAAGAAAAATAAATAAAGTTTTGAAAAGAAAAACAAATCAGGGATAACCAATCAGTTTACAGAATTGAATTTAATAAGAACGTCTCCTCTTAAAAATGTAATGAGAAAGCATGTAAAAATAGCAGGTTAAATAAAAGAACACAATCGCAAGTTTAAGGTAACAGTAATAAATATTTAAAATGAAATAATTGGAAGCAGATTTTGAAGAACAATTACGTTCTCTCTAAGAAAAAAAAGAACATATTGCAAGCAAATAATATAATTTTCAGCAGTAAAGACAAAAGACAAATTTTCAACATTGCAGAAAGTATTTTAAAAAGTTAATTATATGGTAATCGATAGAACAAAAAGTAAACCCTAGAAAAATAACCTGGACATTGCAGGCCTAAAACGAAATTTTAAATGTGTGAATAAAATTAAAATATCCAGAGAATAGACCACGAGATTTCCATGTGCAAAGGATGAAATCCCTTTAGGACAGTGGTTCTCCACACAGGGCAATTTTGCCCCCCTAGGGGACATTTAATAATGCCTGGAGACATTTCAGTTAAAATTGGACGGATGCTGCTGGCATCTATTGTAATGTTAACAGATTAAGCAAATAAAAATATAGGAGGCCTAGTTAAATTTACATTTCAGACAAAAGAAAAAACAACAAGAATAAATTTATAAATAAGTATTACTTGTGATAACCATAATATGAGTTTACATCATAATGTAAGTGTGCTATGGAGGACCAATTACAGACCTGCAGCATTGATAATTGGATACACAGACAATGACAATTATTTGTTGCTTATTTGAAATTCAAATTGAACTGACACACTCTGTATTTTACCTGATAACTGTACGAGGACAAGGATGCTGCTCAATATCTCACAATGCACATGACAGTCCCTCACAACAGAATTATCCAGCATAAAATGTAAATTGTTCTAAAGTTAAAAATCATGCTTTGTGAAGATGTAATAATGAAAAGCACAAATTCCATAATAGCAATTAGGACTGAAAAAATAAAATCAGTTATTGATATAAGATTTCACACACACCAGCTGCCTTCCTTATCTCTGAAATGTCCAGCTTACCATACTTAGGCTCTGATTTCTGCACATACATCCCCAGTTCACACTTGCTTACAAGCAGGCCTTACTTTGAGACAGGAATGATTTGGGCTGCTTTAGTCCTTCACCAATTGCTGATTAATGAGCTGTGATGGCTTCCAGTTAAAATAATTTGTGGGTGAAAAATTCACAAAATATACTTCATTTTTAAAAATTAGAGTATAGAAATTCTCAAAGCTGTGTTCTTGTTTATAGGGTACTGTGAATTCCTAAGCCCCATAATTCTGTAGATAGCTTGTTTATGGCAGTCTTCTATTTACCTCCATAACAATTTTAGATTTTACTTCTTTTTCTTCCTCCTATCATGATATGGGATATTCTGATAATGATTTTAGCAATTTTGCTAAGTGATAATCACAGACTTAATTTGAATCATAAAATGACATACCCCTTATGAAATAAGATTATTCACTTTCAATCCTTTCTAACTGCTCCAGTGCTCTCAAAGGGTAGTGTCATCCCTGATGTCACAGTTCTCCTGTCCCCCTTACCTCTGGACTCATCTCTTAATCTAAAATAAAAACAAATTGTATGCAAAAGAAAGAAACATTTTTTAAAAAAGTTACTTCTGATGGATTTAGTTCTGTCCAGGAAGAAAATAGATGATATATTCAGAATACTCTACAATCTTTGGCAACTGTGTAACCTTGATCTTGGGAATGGATGTTGGGAAAAAAATTCTCCATGAATGTATTGCACTTCTGCATGGTCTAGCTCTTATCTTGTGAGCAAACAGTATGTTTGATGAGCAAACAGAAGGGCCTCAACTAGGATCAGGTGAGCAAGGCATGCAGGGTGCAAAGTTTGAGGAGCCACTTGGTTTTAGGGCCCTGCAACCTATTGAATGCCTTTTTACGTTTTGTGCCCTAGGAGTCTCGTTCACTTTGCCCAAGACCAGGTCATGGCAAAGAGCCTTGGGATTTAGAAATAGGGTATCCCTCTTGGTCAGAAGGCAGATTTGTTTAAAGATAAAGACTCTTCTCTTCTTCTTCTTCTCTCCAGAGATATTTGCTTACATTCCAGTGTAAAGCTTCTTCTTCAGAAGGCAAGATGGACAGGTTACTCACAGTGATCAAAGTTTTTAAGACTGGAGTTTCCTAATTTTGAGATTTCTCTTTTGATAGACACCACTACTTGCACATGTAACATCAGTTTCTCATCTTATCCCTGTGAGGGGACTGAAGCTTGAAGAAATAGTACGATGATATTCCTCTGACTACTGCTAGTACTTCAGTGAATAATAAACCATCTTTTGCCTTCTGCAAGTACAACAAGTGACAAGCTAAGTTGTTAGCTTATAATAATTTTGGCAACGAGGATGGAACACAGCCCAAAGACCTGGCCTTCTGAGGAGAAAGTGAAGGATCCTACAAGCTGATTAATAGGATTTGCTGAAAGTCCATGGGAACTGGTAGCTAACATGTTGACTAAAATGTTTGTAATTGGTAAATAAATATTCTTCTATTATGTTGCTCATTAATGAGGAGGATTGGGAAGTGGTTGAAAATTGAGTACCACTGGTAGAACTGAAACAGACTTCCAAATGACACTTTTAGATTTAGCTGTCTTCTCCAGATAACATTAGGTAGACAGATTAAAGATCTCCCAAAGTTGTTACAGGCCTTTGGTGGAAAGGTGAAAAGATTAAGGATCTCCCAAAGTTGTTACATTCAGATGCTTATTCAGTTAACCACCGAGTAGTGGCAATAATGCTTATTTGAAAGTAAATGTGTCTTGCATACTGGCCTGAAGACACTTTCTCTATATTTCCCTGATAACTTCTTTACCTCTATTCTGATGTCAATTGCTTTAGGGATTCGGGCTGGGCCTGAGATCTTCCTGACCCAAGGGACACCAAAGACCCTACAGAACCATCCCAACATATTGCAAAGCTTCAAGGAGAGTAGGGACTCAAATTAGTATAGCCCTGTTGGATATATGTGCACAAATCACCATTCTACTTGGTTCTGGGGGTTGGGGGAAGGGGTGCTGAGGGATGGAGGACAATAGCATGTGAGGAAATACAAAAGAGACCCTACTGGGAGGTGCACTAGAAAGAAGGGCAAGAAGCCAAGAGGAAAAAAAAAAAGCCAACCCTCCCCTCCCCTCCCATCCCCTCCTCTTTCCTTCCCTTCTTTTCCTCCCACCTCAGCCACCCAAATGACTAGGACAACAGGCACACACCATCATGCCTGGATAATTTTTTAGTGTTTTGTAAAGACAGAGGAGTCTCACTATGTCACCCAGGCTGGTCTAGAACTCCTGGCCTTAAGCAGTCCTCCCACCTCTGCCTCTCCAAGTACTGATATTACAGGCATGAGCCACTGCACCGGGGAGGCCTACAGTCGTTCTTTATAGTTTACCCTCTTTTTTCCTGCATTCTATAAATACTCAAATAGAAGATAGCAGGGCCTTCTGGCTACTGTGACAGCCTCTAACAAGCAGGTTTAGAAAGAAAAAGGAAAAAGAAGTGCCTGAGTTCAACTGATGAGGATTGAACAAACAGTGCACACACACACACACAAACACACACACACACACACCAAAGTTAGGAAGACTTTGTGGATAGGGCCCTTTGGACCCATTCGATGCACTGCTTTTTATTGTCTTTATATCTGTATGTATGGTGTGATATTAAATACTTAAAATATTATCTCATAAGTGCCAGAGAGATTGACCCAGGGAAAACCACCAAAAATGTTAGTGGGACAAACTCCCTGGCCATTTGAGCCAGTTGGTGGAGCATAATTTACCATGAGTGCCTTCACCCTCCAATGTCCGAACCTACCCTTATTGGGCTTTTTGTGTATTGCAAAAAGAGAAAATCCCTCTGTGCAAGATAAAACAGAAAATTACTCAATGTACTCAAAACAACTCACAAAAAATCGACCATTTCTCAAGGAATGAAACAATCAAGAAATTACAACCTTGAAATTACTTAGATATTAAAATGACCAAAGACTTTACAGGAGCTGTTGTACCCATCCTTCATGAGGTCAAGGTAGACACTCAAAATGAATGGAAAGGAAAAACTTGTCAGCAGAAAAATAGGAATTATAAATTATAAATTAAGAAAACAGATATTTTAGAAATGAAAAATATAATGTCTTAAAAAACCTTTATTGGGCATGATAAATAGCATAAAGAAAATGATGGAGGAAAGACAGTGTTCTTGAGGTTGGATCAATAGAAATTATATACTCTAAACAATACAGGGTAAAATAATTGAAAAAATTATACATCATATCATGAATATGAAAGGCTATAACAAATGATGTACTATTCATGCATTCTGAGTTTCAGAAAAGCAGAAGAGGTTGATGTTGAAAAAGGACTCAGAGAAATAATGATCAAAAATTTTCCAAACACAGCAAAGAGCATAAACCTACAGATTCAAGAAGCTGAGCAAATCCCAACCAGAATACAACCAATGAAATCCATTCCAGGAAAATTCATTGTCCAATTTCTGAAAATTAAAGACAAAATATTGAAAGCAGAAAGAAGGAAATGACATCATAGTTATAGGGAAAATGCAATATAAATAATAGTGGTTATTATCACCAGAAACCAGAAATAACAGTAGAAAGGAGCACAAATATTTAAAGTGCTCAAAAGTAGAAATGGTCTACCAGATGTTTATGTTCAATAAAAATATCCTTCATTAATGTAAAGGAAATCCAGGCATTCTAAGAAAAAAAGAAAAGCTAGAAACCTAGGAGAATTTCTTTCCAACAAACCTATCTTTAAATAATAGCCAAATGAAGTTCTCTAAACATAAAGGAAAGAATAGAAGAGAAATTTGTGGAACATCAAGAATGAAGTAAAAATAAGAGAAAGGGGGAAAGTGGGCAAACACAATATATCTTCCTTTTTCACTTGAGTTTTCTTCATATGTTTTAACCAGCCATTGCTAGCATTGAAGATGGAAGAGAGACAGGAAATGTGGAAAAATGACATTCTTCTCTAGAGCCTCTAGGAGGAAACTCAGCCTTGACACATGGATTTAACTCAGTGAACCTCAGTTCAGATTTCTGACCTACAAAACTGAAAAATAATAAATTCATTTTGACCTAAAAATTATAAAGGGATGTAAGGTTTCCATACTTCACTAAAACTGGTAAAAAGTGTACACCACTAGATTATAAGCTATGTACATGTAAAGTAAAACATAGAAGAATCACTAAAAACACTGTTCAGAGAGATACACTCAAAAATTATACGGATCAACTAAAATAGAATTATAAAACACTTTCAGTGGCCCCATAGGAGATCAGGAAAAAGAAAACAATCAAAAGTAGTATAAATAAAAAACAAAAAATATGACAGCTCTAAAATATCAAAAAATGCATTAAGTGTCAATGGTTATTGAAAGTAAATTTTTGCCATCTCAGTTTGTGATTTACGCTTTTGCATAGATATATACTTTAAGTCACAAATATTTGTATAACAACTAATTATACATAAACTCATTCATATTCTCATGCAAATATCTGGAAGAAGCCTGGGTGAGTCTCTCCAACTCTCACTGAGCCAAACCAGGTCTAGATGGGTAAGGTGTCCATCCTGTGTGTTCTATGAAGATTAACAGTCTCCCAAAGTCACACACTTCCTAATTCTCAGACAAGTGAATATATTAACTTACATGACAAAGGGAAATTACATTTGCGAATCAATTGACCTGAATTTAGAAAGGTTATCCTGGATTATCTAGGTGGACTCAATGTAACCATAAGGTCATTAACTGCAGAAGAGGGAGGCAGAAGAGTCAGTGCAAGGGCGACGTGATGCTATGTGATGGGAGGCTCAAGTGGCTATTGCTGGCATTGAAGATGGAAGAAGGCCAAGGAATGTGGACAAAAAATGGGTGCTTCTCTAGAGACTCCAGAAAGGGACTCAGCCTTGACAGGTGGATCTAACTGAGTAAGACCTATTATACATACTATGCTTCTCTAGTTTGCCACAATTACTTAATTTCCTGTAATTTAGTGTTAGCCTTGTTCTAAAATAAGCGCCTTCTTAGAAAGTGGTGGATAGCAGAGTGATACTCATGGCTAATGAACAATTTGCTATATTTTCTAAATTGAAAACAACATCGACAACATCCGGTTAAACTGGAATTACAAAGAGAAGAGAAAATCAACTTAATTTTTCCTCATTTACTACAGTGACCCTAGCCATGTGACTTAATTTCTTTAGATATAATTTTTTTTTTGTATTTTTAGTAGAGATGGGAAAAAATTAGTCAGTCATGGTGGCGAGGGACCTGTAATCCCAGCTACTTGGGAGGCTGAGGCAGGAGAATTGCTTGAACCCGGGAGGTGGAAGTTGCAGTGAGCTGAGATCATGCCACTGCACCCCAACCTGGGTGACAGAGCAAGACACCATCTCAAAAAAAAAAAAAAGAAATATGCTAAATTAATTGTGAAATATATATATTTATGGACCACTAACATCAAATTTAAAAATATAGAAGATATTTTTAATAGTTAATTGGCCATAATAGTGTCACCAAACTTTTTAGACAAGTCAAAGCAAGTTGAAGTCTCAGAGACTATTGTGTTTATTTGCTAACTGTATTATCAGAATGCTTAGTTGGTGCAATTAATAGAATAATTCTGCCAATTCATAACACTGCCAGACCACAGCGACCCAATGAAACTCACTGACTCTCAGAGAAGTTTATTCCCTCTGTCAATGTTCATCTTTCCTGGCAAACCATCTTTAGTGTTCCAGGCAAACTAGAGCATGGTGAAGTCGAAGAAGATTCTACTTTCTGTTCCATTCAGAGAGCTTCCTGGTTTTCAAAAAAGAGTGAGGCATGTGGGTGTGAAAGAGCTGAGGCATGAAATTTGGATCTTATCACAAGTGCAGAAGAAAAAACAGGAGATTTGAAGCACAAATGTGATATAACCTAATTTCTACTTTTAAATGATCACTCTGATTGTTGTGAGGGAACTGATATGGGATGAGCTGGGGGAAGAACATTACCAAGACCAGCTGGAGGCTGGTAAAGTCCTCCAGGAGAGAGCATCATGGCTGAACAATCACCTTCTAGTAAAGATCAGGCAAGTGGTCATATTTGGGACGTATTTTGAAAGTGGAGGCAATTAGATCGGCTAATGCATAAGTTCCTGGAGGGAGCGAGGATTTTTGAACCACTAGGTAAACACCTGTCAGTGACCGAGAAAATGTTGGGATGTGTTATGAGAGATGAATCCTAAAATTTCATATGTTGAAGACTGGCCCTTCAGGGCCTCAGAATATGAACATCTATAGTAGAAGGCAAGTGTGGTGCTGAGGGCTGCCACCCACCTCTAGGTACCCAAGCTCCTGCAGCAGTCCTGCGTCTCCCTTTCACCCACCTTCACTCACAGACAGTGTCCCTTTCAGCTCTTCCATTACCTCTGTTTTTGATGTGTCTAGTGAGAGCATAGCTGATATTTATGCTTTCCTGATACACTAGTCTCTCGCTGATTGCTGACATTGGAGCAGGTTAGGGAGCAGGCCTGAGCTGAGTGACCTTTAGGAGGATTTCCTGTTCTTTTCCTGTACTCTGCTGCCAAGGAGAAACCTGTCTTGCACCAGGCCTGCAGCTTCCTCAGTCCCCCACATCATCAGGCAATATCTGCCTGGCACTCCTCTTTGTTCCTTTTCTCTGACCTTCCTTTTTGACATGATGGTTGACCTGAAGTCACCGAGGCAGGACTGCTCATCTCCAGGTCCTATGGGAAACAGTACCTGGTGAAACCAGAGACAATAATCTCCATAACGCATTGGGAGCTGCTGGGCTCAAGCAACTACTCTGTGCCTGAGATACAACTCATACGGCCCAGCTAGAGCTGATCTACTTCCCACAGGGCCAGAGAAGAATTGCCAATTAAGAATGCATTCCCCCCTGAAATAGGTCTATATTTATTCCAGGGAAAATACCAATCTGCCTGGGTCCCTTACAAGAACAATGTCGTCTGTAGCAAAATCTAATCTACTAGGAAGCCTTCTTGTATTATTATCTGCAACTTTTCAGAAGAGCCATACCAGACCCTCATATGCCCAGCACAGGATCCACTCATGCACACCTGTCTAGGGCCTTGTCTTTATGATTTTCTGTCACCTGGCTTCTCAGCCATGCCTCCAACCAAGCTATCCTCAAATAAAGACTAACCATGCACAAAAAGTGAAAAATTACACAAGACCTACTCAAGGTCTGAAATGGAAAGTGCAGCTGGTGATTCTGAGTAGTATATTTTATGAATTGATGAGCAGGGAATTTCTAGGTATCACAGAGCAATCAGCAGCTGAGGAGAGAGCGACAAAACCAGGACTCTGACAGGGCTTTTTGGAAACTTAATTTTTGGAGCAATCAGCAGCTGAGGAGAGAGCTACCAAACCAGGACCCTGACAGGGCTTTTTGGAAACTTAATTTTTTATTGTCAAATTATACAGACAAAAATGAAAGTAAAGGTAGTGAGGAGTACCACACACCTTTACTTAGAAGGATAAATAAAGGACACCTTTGTAGGGAGAAAAAAAAAGATATAGGACGAAAAGTAAACATGGCAAGGTAGACTCAGAATACAAAATTTCAACAAATAAGTGCGAGAAAAAGAATGAGAAAGAATGAGTATTGGAATATTACAGATAAAAATCCTTGGTGAGAAAGAACACTCTGATGAAACAGGTGACATAATTACTGAGTAAAAGCAGAAGACCAATCAA
Source organism: Homo sapiens (assembly GCF_000001405.40). NCBI lineage: Eukaryota > Metazoa > Chordata > Mammalia > Primates > Hominidae > Homo > Homo sapiens. Next base: position 83,917 of record NW_003571050.1, on the reverse strand, counting down.
GGCAATTGAGGCTTGGACAGGTATTACAAATTATCTTAGATGAATGTATAATTGTGGCCATTTAATTATCAGTGATGACAATTACAATATTTATTAGAAGAAATAAAGTAGAGGATGAATTCTATGGAATATTCTGGAGAAAGTGGAGGTCTTAGCTATATGACATCGTGTGGCTCACTTAGGGAACCATATATTCAGTTTGTTCAGGTCTAGAAATTCCTTGGTGGTTTCTGAGTTCAGTTTTGCTTTAATAAACCCTAAAGATATTTTTAAAATACAAATATTTTAGCTTGCCTGTGTTGTATAGCACCAAGGCTTGCCTGAGTGTAGTGAGATTCACAGAAGTTTGGACAATTCTTGTAGCCTGAGCAGGCTGCCAGCACCTTTCTCTCATATATGTGTGCCTGGGAGTGTGCTGTCCTCACACATCTCACAGATAAGCAAGACCATCTCTGTTACATGAAAAATTTAGCTAAATGTGAAAATATCCACGCACACACATCATGAGAGATGGAAAGAGGCTATCAAAACAGTCAGAGATATTGACCATCTTCACTGTTAGCTGTAGGATCAGTGTCCACCCCCCGACACACCCACACAAACTCACATACACAGAAATGAAAAGCACAGTGAAAAGCAGAATAGCAGTCTTTCCAAACAGATTGAAAACCAAAAGATGTCTAAAGTTCAATCCTGACACTGTGCCGACTGCTTGGACACAGTTCCGTCAAAACATTTGTCCAAGTCATAGTTGTGCCTTTTAGGAATTAGACACAAACAATATCCTACCCAACCCTTCCTGCTGAGCTAGAGTCCCAAAAGAAATGAGGGATACACTTGACCTGAAGTAAGCAAAGCAGAAGCCAGTCTCTGAGGCGAGGAGGCCCACCTGGTAGGGAGCTCAAATGCACCATTGTCCTGCTTGTCTTTATAAAGGGAGCTGACACGTTTCTCCCAGCACAAAGTTGGGAGTGACACCAGAGCCTCCTGCAAGATGCTTCTGATTCTGCTGTCAGTGGCCCTGCTGGCCTTCAGCTCAGCTCAGGATTTAAATGAAGGTAAGATGAATTGGGGGAAGATATTGTGACTCTGATTGGGGTTTACAGGCAAATGCTATAGAGGAGGAAAGTGGAGGGAAGAGAGGAGGATGAGAAAACAGATGGGACTGCAGAGTTCTCATGCTGAGGATCAGAAGATCTATTGTACCTCCATTCCTCATCAAGGCCTCATAGTTTATTTGTTGCACAAATAGAATCCAATAAAGAATTCGTACTAGGGGTGTGAGAGAGTGAGATTTGCATTATATAGAGACATGGGACTGCTGTGAAGGATGTGGAGAATGCAAGACAGATTCAGGGAAGTACAGCTGTGAAGATCCTGTACTGATCCCAGTAGACAGGGATGATGGTGGCCTTGCTGTACAGTGGATGAGCATTAATGAAGGAGATAAACACATGTCAGAGCTACTGCCGAGGCAGAGAATTGGGTAAACACTTGTCTCTGTCTACATAGAGTTAGAGAATAACCAGAGTGAAACATTGTCATTTTTCTGTCTCCTGAATGTAGTATTTCAATGTGCTGGGAATGGCATGCGTAAGATTATATCCAAGTGGCTATGTCTGGTGGCTCCTGTTGAGAAGGCTTGCAAACATAAACAACATATTTACAGATGAAAGAGGGCAGAAGAATCCCCAAATATGTCATTGAAATACTCAGAGCAGTTTAACTAAATAAGCGCTAAGGGTTTACAGGCAAATGCTATAGAGGAGGAAAGTGGAGGGAAGAGAGGAGGATGAGAAAACAGATGGGACTGCAGAATTTTCATGCCGAGGATCAGAAGACCTATTGTATCTTCATTCCTCATCAAGGCTTGGGGAATCAAAAGAGGACAAACAGGGGCCCTTCTATGTTGAGTTCCTGGTTGACGCTCAGTGTAGTAACAATACTGCTTTCCCTTACATCTTCTTCCACTTCCAGTAGCATCAGAGAGTGGCTGATGAGATCACAAAGGGGATGCACAGGGTGTGATCAGAGGTCCTTTATCCTCGTAGAACACTATGAGCCTTGAATGATTCAGGAAGTAACTTTTCCCATCATCCTGTACTTCTTTTCTAGATGTCAGCCAGGAAGATGTTCCCCTCGTAATATCAGGTAAATCCCAATAAATTCTCAGTAAACTCTGTCTCCATTTTTCCCTGAAAAATTGATGAGTTCTCCAGTGTCTTCTTATCACCATTTTCTTGTCAGGAATTGGCTAATACCAATGCCCCAAAGATACAAACAGTTTTCTCCCAACCTTGATTCTGGGGACCATGAGTAAAGAAATTCAATTTTTCATCACCCTTATGTGGATTAAGAGGAGTTCTAATTAGGAAGCCTTGGGAAGGGGGGAGGTTGGGAGTTGAGAGGCAGGTCAGGCAGAGAGGGGCCGGCCGTGTGGTGAAGACAGAGAGGTATGAAGACAGGAGGGTTTTCCAGCATGAGCTCAGCTCTTCTTGTTTCAACTCACACAGATGGAGGAGACTCTGAGCAGTTCCTAGATGAGGAGCGTCAGGGACCACCTTTGGGAGGACAGCAATCTCAACCCTCTGCTGGTGATGGGAACCAGGATGATGGCCCTCAGCAGGGACCACCCCAACAAGGAGGCCAGCAGCAACAAGGTCCACCACCTCCTCAGGGAAAGCCACAAGGACCACCCCAACAAGGAGGCCAGCAGCAACAAGGTCCACCACCTCCTCAGGGAAAGCCACAAGGACCACCCCAACAGGGAGGCCATCCCCCTCCTCCTCAAGGAAGGCCACAAGGACCACCCCAACAGGGAGGCCATCCCCGTCCTCCTCGAGGAAGGCCACAAGGACCACCCCAACAGGGAGGCCATCAGCAAGGTCCTCCCCCACCTCCTCCTGGAAAGCCCCAGGGACCACCTCCCCAAGGGGGCCGCCCACAAGGACCTCCACAGGGGCAGTCTCCTCAGTAATCTAGGATTCAATGACAGGTACGATTCCAGTTTATTATCCATCAAAGGCTCCAACTGCTACAGTTCTCCAACTTCATTGTGCCAATGAATCCTCTGAAAACCTGTTAATATTGCCCTGTCCTGGAACACATTTCTAAAAATTGTTATTCAGATATTCTTGTATAGAGTATCAAGACCCTGTGACCCTGTGTTTTACAGAAGCTCTTGAAGGCAATTCTGATTTTGAGAATCACTATCTTCAAATTACATGTCTTAAGTAGGGTTGACAATGAGGACATAGAACCATGTTCCCCCTTTGGCTCTCTCTATTTTCTTTCCTCAAACTCAGACTCCCATTTAAAGTTTTCACCTGAACATGCTTTGCTCAGTCCTGCCTCACATCAGGCTTTCAGGTCCAGTATTCCTGCTAAGTGGTCCTTGAACTTTCAGTTGTAAAATGGTATCTCATTTTTAGTATACTTACATTTAAAGTCATACATGCTTAAGCTAACAAAAACTAATCTCACTGAACCGAAATGTACAGAGCTAAATAGTAAGAGCCTAACTCATCTTTCCTCCCTTCTATCCTTCTCAAAACCCCCACCTTTTACTCTTTGGAATCTACTTTTTGAAATATATATTGCTACATAAATATATATAATGCTTTTATTACAAGCACTTATACCATACTGTATATTCAGATTTGTGTCTTACTCACTGGAAAAATTTATTGTTTAGAAAACTTTCTCATGAGTTCATTTAGATCTCTTCAGTGTTTATTGGTTAGTTTGTTTTTACAATTGTATACTATTCTATTGTTTGGTTGTTCCGTAATCTATTTAACCAATCCCTGTCACTGGATATTAAGGCTGGATTCACATTCTCACTATTATATGATATGTTGCAGTGCCCATCTTTGTAAAAATAGCCCTTACATAACCAACAGCAGCAAAGCATGAACACATAACAATAATTGTTTCTCTTTCTCATCTAAGCAACACTTTAAATCACATTATGTGCAATGGCTTAAAGAGTGAACAAAGAAAATATTACTAAGGAGAAGGGGGCTGTAGAAGGGATAGAGGGCAAGAGTAGGGGCTTGCATCTCCATCACTGCAGTAACCCCCAGTGAGGGATTAGACATTTCCTGCCATGTCAAGTGTTGTCTGTAATCTTCCTTGTTTGCTTGTCTTTTTCAGGAAGTGAATAAGAAGATAACAGTGTTTCAAATGCCGTGAAACATGGCATCATGCTCTAACTTCAGTATACCAATAAAACAATCAGCTTGCAATTTCTGCTGGTGGTGTCTCTTTCTGAGTGTTTGGGACTCTAGAATCTGAGACCCATGTTCACATTGTAAGAATATCCAGGACCCCTTCTCCTTGATGTTTCCAGCAAGCTTCTCTCCTCCTTATCCTTATTAAGTCATCCACCTGGGGAAGGAGTTCCACTGTTTCTTTCCTTCTCTGTCTTCTATAGCTCGAATTTAAGTTGTACAATTATTTTCAGGTCATTTCTTGATATTCTAGTCAGCTTATGAATGTAAGCAAAACAATACCAATGAAAGAAAATCCCAGAAGCTGAGAGAAATTTTAACAAGTTCAAAAGTAACCGATTTTGTTTTCTAGGGAAATGAGTATGGTTCTATGCCTCTATTCCCCAGAAGCCACTAGACCTATTTTCCCATATTTTATCACTGATCAGTTCTGTCCCTGCCTATGAGTCTTACTATTCTTAAGAAAACCTAAATGGATTTCATCAGAGGCAGCCTGACTTGAATGGGCAAAGAATTTGGAATCTCTCAGATTGCAGTTTAAGAACTATGTCTTGCTAACTCTGGACTCATAGGAAGCTACTTAAGTCTCAGAGCCTAAGTTTCCTCTTCTAAATTTTTGAATAATCAAAATGGCTCCCCTAAAGGATGAAGACTAAGCAGATCACATACATGAAACACTAGTGGATATAGTCATGTCTGCTTCACAATAATGATTTTAGGAAAGAACAGCAGACATGAAATTGTGAGGAATTAAATGTTCCCGAGTTAAAAATCTTAAGATTTCTTTGTCCAAAAAATCTAAGTAGAATAGTCTCTGATATTGTTTTTTTCTAGGCTTTCAAACAAAATAGGAACACACTGAGTATTCATATTTTTTTTAGCATTTTCTTTCTTATCAGACCCGTAAAATTCTAATTAGGTTTTTTTTAAAAAAAATAGTATCTGCTTATGGAAATTTAATTATGACAATTAGAAATGCAGGCTCTTTCTTCCTCCTCCTCCTCCTCTTCCTTCTTTTTTATTTCTCCTACTCCATCTCCCTCTTTTTCTTTTTTGAAAAAATATGCTTAAATTTGCCTTCAATTATATTTATTTATTTATTTATTTATTTATTTATTTATTTATTTTGAGATGGAGTCTCATTCTGTCACCCAGGCTGGCCTGCAGTGGCAAGATATCGGCTCACTGCAACCTCCGCCTCCCAGGTTCAAGCGATTCTCCTGCCTCAGCCTCCTGAGTAGCTGGGATTACAAGCATGCACCACCATGCCTGGCTAATTTTTGTATTTTTAGTTAAGACGGGGTTTCACCATGTTGGTCAGGCTGGTATCGAACTCCTGACCTCGTGTTCCATCCGCCTCGGCATCCCAAAGTGCTGTGATTACAGGCGTGAGCCACCGCACCCGGTCACCCTCAATTTATTTTTAAACTTTATTTTTATAAATATATGTGGTTCAAAGATAATTTTGTTACATGTATACATTGCATAATGGTTAAATCATGGCCTTAGGGTTTCCATAACAAGAATAACAAATATTGCATTTACTAATTAATGTCTAACTCTTAATTCCCTCCCACCCACTCACTCTTCCAAGGCTTCAGTGTCTATAGTTCTCCCCTCTATATCTATGTAAACACATTTTAGCACCTACTTATTAGTGACAACATGTTATACTTGACTTTCTGTATCTGGCCTTTGTCACATAGCATATTATCTGTCACATCCAGTTCCATTCGTATTGCTACAAAAGGAGTGATTTCGTTCCTTCTTTTTTTTTTTTTTTTTTTTTTTTGCAGAGTAGTATTGCATTGTGTATATATCACGATTTCTTTACCTACAAACCCATTAGTATCCATTGATGGTTACTTAGGTTGATGCCATATCTTTGCTGTTGTGTATGGTGTTTCAATAAACATAGAAGTGCAGATTTATTTTTCATATACTGATTTCATTTCCTCTGCATAGATACAGTAGTAAGATTGCTAGATTGAATAGTAATCGAGTTTTAGTTCTTTGAGAAATCATACTGTTTTCCATAGAGTTTATACTATTTACTTTCCAATCAGGGTGTATAAGAGCTCTCCTTTCTCCACATCCATCCCAACATCTGTTTTGTTTGTTTGTTTGTTTTAATCATAGCCATTCTGAATAGGGTAAGGTGATAGTGTGGTTTTGATTTTTATTTCTCTGATGATTAGTGATATAGAGTATTTTTCACATACTGTTGATTATTTGTATGTCTTATTTGAAAAGATGTCCATTTCTATCTCTTGTTCACTTTTTAATGGACTATTTTGTTGTTTTTGAGTTGTTTGTTTGTATATTCTGGTTATTATTCTCTGCCAGTCCTATGCTCAGTAGGGTTATCATTGGGAGCTGTGTAGACATTGCCACTAGTCCAAACTCAGAAGTGAGGCATAGGGGAGCATAACATGCCTGGCAGGGGCTCTCGAAGCTTGGGCAGATCAGTCCTGGGCTCCAGCCCAACGTCTAGTGTGCTTCTCTAGCAGACAGCCCTGTGCCCCCCTCCTCCCACCTCTCAGATTGCGGGGTCAGGATTGTTACAGGGAAACACAGACACCTTTAGTCTCTATGCCAGCTTATATGAGCAATCTCCAAGCAACAGGCTGAAGGACTTACATGGAAATGTGATCTAAACCTAGAGTCTAGCTTGCTTTATAATGTGTGATTATTAAGAGTTGGAGTATGTTAGCCACTAATTGTCTTCTTGCACTGAGCCCTGAAAATGTTAAATTTGGGCTTTTGGATAATCATTGGGCCCTTTCGATATGGAGAATTAACCTTTAGTTCTGGGAAATGTATTGTTTCATTGATGTGTTTCTCAATATATTCTGGTTTCTTGGTCTGAAATTAATGATTGTTGATATTAAAGAGAACAGGTTATAGAAGGTGGAAATCAAGATTCTACTTGGTACACGGTATGTTTACATTCATTTTAAATGACAGGTGGATTGCTGAGGTCCTTGACTCCTGTACAGATGCCTAAGCGCCTGCTGCAGTCCTGCTCCTGGCTTTGACTCCATTCTAAGTCAGTCACAGTGTCTCCTTCAGCTCTTTGGTAATCTCTGTTTTGGTTGTCTGGTAGGTTGATACCCAATATTTATTCTTGCCTGAAACACAAATCTCTCTCACTCATTTCTGACATTAGAGAGGGTCAGGAATAGGGTGTGAGTTGAGTGATATATGGAAGCATCACCTGTTCTCTTCCTGGACTCAGGAGACAAGGAGAAGCCTGCCTCCCACCAGGACTGGAACTTCCTCAGCTACCCACTCAAAGAGGCACATCTGACTGGCATTCACCTCTGCTCATTCTCTCTGACCTTCCTTACCTACTTGAAGGTCTACTGTAAGCTACCTAGGCAAAACTGCTCATGTCCAGTAACTCTTTTGAAGTAATGTTTGGTGAAACCAGAGACAATCATCCTGTTAACATCAGGGTACCTGCTAGGCCCAAGCAGCTACTCTATGACTCCCTTAAAGCATGTGACACTTAGTTGCAACTGTTTGACTTTCCACATAGCTGCAGAATATTTGACCACTGGTATTATATTCCTTCTCAACCCACATCACTATTTATGTCAGCAGAAAAACAGAAAGTTAATCTGCCTAATCAACTAGAAAATTCAATGTTACCTGTAGCAATTCTTATATTATTGAAAGGCCTTCCTGTAATGTAGTAGGTCTTTAAAAAGTTCATGAAAATGTATGTTATATTAAGAAATACCATAAAAGGATTCCACATTTTTTGGCATCAAAATGAACCTAAACTGATATGCTGTAAGATGTCTGAATAGGAGCTATTTCAAGGAATAATGAAAAATAAGACAGGAGTTTCAAAACATCCCCTATAAGAGCAAAATACATTTTTCTAAAATTAAAGTGAAAACAAAGAGAAAATTTATGGTTAAGCTTGCATGAAAGAAGGTAAAACCACTGATGCTTTCTGAAAAGTTCATATGGATAATGGCTGAAGAAATCAGCAGTTCACAAGTAGATATGTTATTTCAAGAAGGGATGAAATGGTGCTGAACCTCAAGTCTACGGTGACAGAGTATTCATATCAAATGTATCTTGTTGATACCATGATAGAAGAGGAATGAAGATTAAGAGTACAAACAATAGCCAACCCTTCATGTTTTTTAATTGGTTCATCTTACATGATTCTAACTGAAAAATTAATGTTGAGCAAATTTTTCACTCTGTGGATGCCAAAACTATGGCAACCAGAGCAGCTACAGACAAGAGAAGAAGCTTCCCTGAAAATTTAAATAAGGGGATAAAGATCCTGAAGCATTTCATCAAAGAATTGTGACAGCAGATATAACATGGCTTTATCAGTACAATCATGAAACAAAGCACAATCAAAGCAATGGCTACCAAGAGGTGGAAGTGGTCCAGTCAAAGAAGAGTGGATGAGGAAAGTGCAAAGGTAATTGTAAGAGTTTATTGGGAAGCTCAAGGCATTTTGCTTATTGACTTTCTGAAGGGCCAGAGAAGGACAATATATGCTTATTCTGAGAATATTTTGAGAAAGCCAGAACTCTAGTAGAGAAATGCCTGGGGGAGCTTCAGCAGAGTCCTTCACCACGACAGAGCTCCTGCTCATTTCTCTCATCAGACAGGGCAATTGGTGAGAGTTCTGATAGAAAACCATTAGGCATCCACATTACACCCTAATTTAGATCCTTTGGATGCTTTTTGTTTTGTAATCTCGTAACATCTGTAAAGACTATTTATTATTCTTCAGTTAATGTAAAAAGGACACACCAATAGCTGGTATGTTGACCAAAATGTATGAAAATTTCCCTTATGCTGTTCATTAATGAGTAGGATAGGGAAATGGTTGAAAACTGAGTATCTGATGGTAGAATTGAAACAAACTTACCAAATGACACCTTTACATTTGCTTTTTTCCATAGAGAACAAGAGGTAGAAGAATTAAAGATACTCCATCACTGTTGTAGACCTTTGGGGAGACCTAAAATTCAAATGTTTATTCAATTGGTTTTGAGCAATGTCTGCACTGCTTGAATTTGAAATTAAATGTGTCTTGTTTACTTGCATGAAGACACTTTATACATATCTCCCTTATCACTTCTATTCCTCTACTCTGATCTCAGTTCCTTTAAGGATTTGAGCTGGGCCTGAGATATCCCTGACTCAAATGAGACAAAAGCTTAACAGATCCATCCCAAAATTTTGTAAAGCATCAAGGAGGGTAGGGATTAAAATTGCTTATATGTGTTCAAATCACTATTCTACTTGGCTCTGTGGGAAATGGGGAAGGAGTGCTGAAGGATATAGGATGGAGCCACTTGTGATACCGAGGCAAGAAAGGAAGAGACTCCAAGTCTGTAGACTCCCTAGACACTGGGAGGTGCACTTTAAAAAGGTAAACCCTGGAGCAAGAAGTCAAGTGAAAAAGAAAGCCTTTTTGGTGGCCCTAGTCTTTTTTGTTTTTTGGGTGGTTTTCATTGTTGTTTTTTCAGACTTTGACTTGCTCTCTCTCTTAGGCTGGAGTGCAGTGGCGTAATCATGGCTCACAGTAGCCTTGCTCTCCCAGGCTCAATCTATACTCCCAGCTCACCCTCCCAAATAGCTGAGTCTACAGGTGCAAACCACCGAGCCAGGATCCTTTTGTAATTTTTTTATAAAGACTGGGTCTTACTATGTTGCCCAAGCATATCTCAAATTCCTTGTGTCAAGGAATTCTCCCACTTCTGCCCTTGAAAGTAGTTGGATTACAGGCATGAGCCATTTCGCCAGGCCTGTAGTCGTTGATTTTACCTCAGCCGTATTATCCACTTTCTATAAATCCCCAGTCAGAAGACAGCAGGCCTACCCGGGTACTGTAATAGACTCTAATTAAGCAGGTGTTAAACTGTGTTGTTACTGTAGGGAAGAAAGGAAAATGAAGTCCTCAAATTCAATTGAGATTTGAGCAAATGATGCACAAAAGAAAACTAAAAAAGACTTTGTGAATAGGAATTTTTTGGGACCCCTTCAGTGCACACTATGTATGCTATGATGTTAAATATACTTATAGTTTTATCTCGTAAGAGCCATAAAGGATCATCCAGGCAGAAGCTCCAAGTAGAAAAATGTTAGTGGGACAAAATCCCCTGCTATCTGAACCAGTGAGTGGATCTCAATTAAGCAAGAAGGCCTCTACCCTCCAATGTCCAAAACTTCCTTCATTGAACTTATTGTGTACTGTAAACAGAGAAAGTCCTGTGTGTGGGATAAAATAGAAAATTACTCAACATACTTTATAAAATCAGAAACAATCGACCAATTCTCAAGGAGTTAAATAATCAAGAGATGATAACCTTGAAACAATCTGGATATTAAAACGGTGAGATTTTCAATCTCACTGAAGCAGGTGTTACAAACATCCATTATGAGGTCAATGTGTACACTCTCAATTTAAATGGAAAAAAAATTCCCAGCAGAAAAAAGAAACTATATAATATAATGACATAGAAATTTTGATACTGAGATATGTAGTGTAAAAAATTAAATAAAATATTATTTGGTGTGATCACTAACAGAAAGGAAATGATGGAGGAAAGAGTCAGTATTCTTGAGGCTGGATTAATAGAAACTGTATACTCGAACACAGGGTAAAATTTTAAATACTGTTATGAACAAGAAAGGTTATAACAAATAATGTGATAATGATAAAATCTGAGCTTCAGAAGGGAAGAACAATGAGGATGCTATTGAGAGAGAACTCAAAGACATAATGGCTGAAAATTCTCCAAACTTGCAATGGGCATAAACCTACAGATGCAAGAAGATGAGCAACTGCCAACCAGAATATACCCAAGAAAATCCATGCAAGCAACACTGTAGTCAAATTTCTAAAAACTAAAAAAAATGTTTTGAAAGCAGCAAGAAACAAATGACACCATAGCTATAGGGAAAACACAATGTGAGTAACAGTGGTGTTATTACCAGAGAGCAGAATAACCAATAGGATGTAGCTAAAATATTCAAAGTGCTGAAAGAAAAAAAATGTCAACCAGATGTTTATGTCCAATATAACTACTCATCAATAAAGAGAAAATACAGGCATTCTTAGAAGACAGAAAAAAAAATCTAAGAGAATTTCTTTCCAACAGACCTATCTTATAAAATGGTTCTATGAAGGTCACTAATCATAAAGGAAAAAATAGAATAGGATTTTTCTGGAACATCAAGAATGAGCAACAACAACAAGAATGAGCAACAACAACAACAATGACAACAAGCCAAAAACAAAAATTGGAAATACAAAGTAGGTAAACACAAAATATCTTTCTTCTCACGTTTTCTGCATGAGTTTCAAATGGCTCAACTGGCCATTGCTAGCTTTAAAGATGGAAGAGGGCCAAGGAATGTGGCAAGATAATGAGCTTTTCTTCTAGAGACTCCAGGAAGGAACTCAGCCTTGAGACATGGATTTAACGCAGTGAGACCCAGTTCAGATTTCTGAGCTGCAAACCTGGAAGACAATAAATTTATGTCAAAGCAAAAATGACAAAATTTACTGTGGCACTAAATGCACATAGACATATATTTAATATGATTCTGTTACAAACAGTGGGAAAGGGGGAGCAGTTAAAAAGACAGGAAAGCAAGGTTTCCATATTTTACTGAATAGGGTAAAATGTGCACAGCACTAGGCTGTGAAAAGCTATGTATGCATAATGTAACACGGAGCAACCACTAACAATGCTGTACAGAGAGTCACGCAAAAAATTTACAGATCAACTAAAATGGAATCAAAAAACATTTTCAAGGAATCCATAGATCAGGAAAAAGAAAAACAATCAAAAGTAGTATAAATATGAAAAACAAAAATGGCTCAAAAATACCAATAATTACATTAAATGTAAATGGTTATTAAAAGTAGATTTCTGCCATTTCAGTTTCTGACTTACACTATTGCATAGATACTATGCAATACTAATAATACTAATAATGTTTTATACCATTAGCTCTTTTATTCCTATGGTAGCCCTTTAATAATTCCTTGCATTATGTTTACTCTTCAGATGAAAAAACAAAAGCTCAATATGATTGCCTGACATTTTCAGTCATATAGCTGGTAAACATCAGTCTGCTTGCTTAAATGTATTACTGAGTAATTAATTTTTTATAGCTTTGTAAAGGGAATTTCATAGCTGATTTTTCATTCCTGCTGGGTTATTGCTAGTATATAGAAATGCTACTAATTTTTGCATATTGATATTTTATCCTGCAATGTTATTGAATAGTCCTAAATTTTTTTGGTGGAGTTTAGATTTTTCTTTTTTTATGTTAACAATTTTTTTAACTTTTATTCTAAGTTCAGACGTACAACTGTATGTTTGTCACATAGGTAAACTTGTGTCATGGGGGTTTGTCGTACAGATTATTTCATCACCCAGGTATCAAGCCTAGTACCATTAGTTATTTTTCTTGATCCTCTTTCTCCTTCCACCCTCTACCCTCTGAAAGGCCCCAGTGTGTTTTTCCTAATATAAGACTATGTCGTCTGCAAACAGGAACAATTTAACTTCCTCTTTTCCAATTTGGATGGCTTTTATTTTTTTTGCTTGCCTGATTCTTCTCGCTAGGACATGACATAAAGTAAAATGTTGACTGAGTGGTGTCTTATTTCAGTTTTTAGAGAAATGGCTTTCAGTTTTCCCCATTCTGTATGTTAGGTGTGAGTTCGTCACATGTGGTTACATTATATAGAGGTATATTCCTTCTTTGTGTAGTTCGTTGGGAACTTTTATCATAAATGGATGCTAACTTTTATCAAATGCTTTTTCCTACATCTATTCATATGCTTATTTGGTTTTGTCTTTATTCTGTTAATGTGATGTACCACATTTATCGATTCATGTATGCTGAACCATTCTTGCATCCCTGGGATAAATACCACTTGATTATTGCTAATTATCTTTCTGATGTGTTCTTAGATTTGGTTTGCTAACATTTTCTTGAGGATTTTTGTGTCTGTGTTCATCAGAAATACTGACCTCTAATTTTTGTTATAGTTATTGTTGTTGTGTTCGTGTATGTTTTTAGCATTGGGGTATTCCTGGCATTGTAAAATTAGTTAGGAAGTATTCTCTTCTCTGAATTTGTTGGAATTGTTTGATGAGGAATGCTTTTCCTTTTTCCTTATAAGTTTGGTAGAATTCATCAGTGAAACCATCTAGGCCTGGACTTTGCTTTGTTGGGAGATTTCGTTTTTATTACTGATTCTATTTCTTTACTCATTATTAGTCTGTTCAGGTTTACCCTTCTTTCCTGGCTCATTTTGTGTGAGTTGTATATGTCAGGGAATTAATCTTTTTCCATGGTGTTCAATTATAGTGTATACTTGTTCAAAACATACGGTTTCATTAGTGTATTATTGTCCAAAATATACAGTTGTATTTCTATGATATAAGTTGTAATATCTTCTTTTTAGTTTCTGATTTTGTTTCATTCAGTTTTTTCTGTCTATATATATATTTTTATATATGTATAGATACACAATATCTATACTATATATATAGTATAGCATATATATATATACGTGTGTGTGTGTGTATATATATATATACACACACATATATAGTATAGCCTAGCTAGACACTTAGGAATTTTATTTATTGTTTCAATAAACCAACTTTTCATTACATTGAGTTTGGGTTTGTTTTTTTTTAGTTTCTAGTTGTTTGGTTCTGCTCTTATTTTTACTATATTTTTCCTTTCACTAATTTGGGGTTCAGTTTGTTTTTAGTTTTCTAGTTCCCTCAGGTGGATCACTGGGTTGTTTAATTGAAATCTCTCTACTTTTGGATGAAAGAATTTATTCAGAGCATCTCCCCTCTTAGCACTATTTGTGCTGTATGTTGTGTTTACATTGTCATATTTCAAAAACATTTTAATTTTCTTCTAAATTTCTTCATTGAACCAGTGGTTGCTCAGGAGCATGTTGTTTAATTTCCATGTATTCTTACAATTTCCAAAGTTCCTCTTAATATTGATTTTTAGTTTTATCCATTGTGGTATATGAAAATAAAGTATACTGCTTTTTCAAAATGTACTGAGACTTGTTTTGTGGCCTAACATACGGTCTGTATTAGAAAATCTTCCACAGGCTAATAAGAAAAATGGTATGTTTTGCCACTGTTAAATAAAAATGTCTATAATGTATATTGGGTCCCCTTATTCTTAAGATTAAGTCCAATATTTCTTTGTAGATTTTCTGTCTAAATAATCTGTTTAATGCTGAGAGTCAGGTGTTAAAGTTTACACTACTATTGTATTGGAATCTATTTATCCTTTTAGATGTCATAATGATAGCTTTATGTATCTAGGTATACTCTAGTGTTGGGGGAATATATTTAGTTTTGTTATATCCTCATGCTAAATTGATCTTTCTATTCTTAAATAATAACCTTCTTTTTCTCTCATTACTGTTTTTGACATAGAGTCTATTTTATCTGATGTTAATATACCTATTTCGACTTGTTTTTGTTTCTGTTTACATGGGATATTTTCTTCTATCCCTTCATTTTCAGTCTATATGTGTCTTATTAGGTGAAGTCAGTTTCTTGTAAGCAGCATATAGTTAGGATATTTTTTAAAAATTCACTCAGCCAGTCTATGTCTTTCAAGTGGAGAATTTAATCAATTTTCAATCAAGATTATTATTCATATGTGAGAAATTACTTCATTTTGTTATTTGTTTTTGTTTGTTTTACATATACTTTGTTTCTTTTTCTCTCACTTTTTATTATTGTGGTTTAGTATTTTTCTATAATAGTAAAATTTAAATCATTTCAAGTCTTCATTTGTCTGCTGTACTAGGGAGTATTTTAAATTTTTTGTGTTTTCATGACGGTAGATATTGTACTTTTGCTTTCAGGAGCAGAATTCCCTTAAGCATATCTTGTGGGGCAGTCATTGTGGTGATGAATTCTCTGTTTTTGCTTTTCAGGGAAAAACTTTATTGTTACTTCATTTTGAAGTTCGCCTGTGCTGAAGATAGTGCTCTTGGCTGGCAGATTTTTTTTCTTTGAACACTTTAAATATATGATTTTATCTCTCTTTCACAGTTTATACAGTGAAAATCACTGTTAATCTGATGAGGGTTCCATTATCATGACTCGATGCTTTTATCTTACTGTTTTTAGAATTAACGACTTTTGGCTTTTGACAGTTTGACCACTGTATGCCTTGGAGAAGGACTTCTGGGGTTGTGTCAATTTGAGTATCATTGAGGTCCTCTATTTGAATGTCTAAATCTCTTGCTAGACTTGACTTGACAAATTTTCAGCTATTATTTTTTTTTCTTTTTTTATTTTATTTTATTATTATTATACTTTAAGTTTTAGGGTACATGTGCTTAGTTTAAAATTTTTGTCATGCCTCTGCCCATCTCTTCTTCTTGAGTATTCTGGAATACTCAGAATCAAACCTTTGGTAACTACATGGTATGTTATATTGAATACTGGCTTTATTTAGATGATTTATTATATTTTCTATCTGGTTTATTTCAGAAATCTAGTCCTCAAGTGGTGAATTTTTTTCTTCTGCCTTACCTAGTCTATCGTTGAAGCTTTTGAAAATATTTTTTTTTTTTTACTTTATTCATTGAATTCTTTACTACCAAGATATCTGTTTGGTCTTTCTCATGACATCTAGGTATCTGGTGAATTTCTTATTCATATTCTGATTTTTTTCAGATTTTTGTATTGATTATCTTTGCTCTATTATATTTAACTAAGCTTCTATGATATCATATTTATGAATTTTTTAGAAGTTCATAGATTTTATTTTTGTTGCAATCTCCTGCTGAAGAATAATTGTGGTCCTGTAGGGGTGTCATGTTTTCTAGCATCTTCATGTTTATTGAGTCCCTATATTAGTATATGCACGTCTGGAGTAACAGCCTCTTCTTGATTGGCTTTCATAGGGGAACACTATTTTTTCTATAGATATATCTGTAGTGTTGGTTGCATACAGCACTTTAGCTTTGATTCTGGGTGTATACACTAGCATAATATCTGTATGGTTTCTTTGTCTCTAGTCGGGATCAGTGGTCTGTGATTTCCTCAGTTGCTAAGACTGAGGTTGTTAGTAAAAGTTTTTGTGAGGTTTTGATGGGAACAGGGGTACTAGATGGGCCAGTCTGCAACACATGTTAGTGGCAGCAGTGGAATGAGCATGCCGGTCTTTGAGCCTCCAGACAACAAACATTGACACCAATATCCACAGTTTCAGTTGGGTAAATTATTGTACCTCCAGGGAGTTTCCTGTGGTGCTGGAAGTTGCAGTGGTGGGCCTGGTGAGTGAGTGGTTCTTGAGACTTTGTGCAATGTGCCTGGCATGGGTGATAGCAATAGCAGTAGCAAGACAACCCTCAGGCTTCCAGGTTGAATGTGCTGGTGGTAATGGTGATGGCAATGGCCTATGTAGGCCAGTCCTAAGAATCCAAGGTGTCACATGCAGGTACGTACTGGCAATGGTCTTGGCACAGGCTGTGTAGGTTTGTCCTCAGACCCATCAGAGAAGTACATGGGTGCCAGCAGTGCTGGATGGAATGGGATGAACCCAGACCAGCTCCAAAGTGTCGGCAGTGATTATTATTCTTGCAGGTCAGGAAGAGGGAGGAATTTTCTGAAGGGTCAGTGTGGTTTCAGAGATAGCATATGGTTGTCTCAACAAAATAGCTACCCACTAGTTCCAAAGTGTTGCTGTAGAGGCAAGCTGACTTACTACCCCAACAAACAGAATACCAAAAACAAATATAGAGCTTTGAGATCTATGTCAGGAAAAATACATAGCTCAAGTATGAAAATGAGATGGTTCTCAGGGCCAAAGAGAAGTGGAAAATCATCAAGAAGACAGTAGGAGATGGGACTTCCACCTCCATGATGTCCCTCCTTCCTATTCTTCCTGGCACCACACATGCAGAGAATCTCCCCCAATTCATGGATTTTAGAGTGAATAAAGTGAAATTGATGTTCTCAAACAGATTATTTACCACCTTGGATTCCCTGGCAAGAAACTTGTTCTTCCTTAGCCCATGAGATGCATTATGACTCCCTTAGGGAAGATGAATATTCTCTGTCCTCAGGGAGGAATATTCCTGAAGAGAGCAAGAGACAAAATAGGGAGGAGGGAAGATCATCTCCAGTTCTGGACACTGTTCATAACTTGGCCAAAGGAGAAGCCAAATCAGGGTAGATGTTCAATAGCACCATGCTTTAGGAGGTACATTCCTTAGGTCACCAGACCATAACCCCTAGCCAAGTTTCTCATACTTCCAGGGTAATTCCTTTGGGACATTTCCCATTTCGGACAGTTAATACTCCAACCGTTTACTAAAGACAAGGTAAAAGTGAGGTTGAGACACCACCTAGAGTCAAAAGGGAGGCAACAGCCCAGCAGTGAGGATTTGCCAAGCAAATAGACTCAATAACAACAAACACAACCCAGACCTGAAAAACTGGAATTAATTAATAACCCTTCTATGGAAAGACATAGAAGTATACCCACAGGAAACAACAGCAAGCAAAGAGCCATGGCCTTCCCAAAAGGACAAAGGTACCAAACTAGTTACTGACCCCAATGACATGACAGTTGGTTAGCTCTCTGATCAAGAATTCAAAATAACAATTTTAAGGAAATCAGATATCTGCAAGATAGCATAGGAAAGCAATTTATTGATTTATCAGAGAATTTTAACAGAGATTGAAATAATTTTGAAAAATCAAACAGAAATCTGGGGACTGGTAACTAGATTTGCTGAACTGAAAACTCATTAGAGGCTCTCCATACTTTCCCACCTCTCAGCTTGCAGGATCAGTCAGGGTTGGTGCAGGGAAACACATGATTCTTCTGTCTCTTGGCCAGGTCAGTGCTGGGCCTCATCTCAGCTCCTGCCCACTGCTCCAGCAGACAGCCCTGCCACTCCGTATTTTCCCACCTCTCAGCTTGCAGGATCAGTCAGTGTTGGTGCAGGGAAACACATGATTCTTCTGTCTCTAGGCCAGGTTAGAAGGGCAGTCTCCAAGGGACAGGCTTCAGGACTTGGATGGAAACCTAACCTGAACCTAGGGTCGATTTTACTTTATAATGTATGGTTATTCAGAGATAGAGTATGTGAGCCTCCATTTGTCTTCCTGCACTGGGGCCTGAAAATGTTAAATCTGGTCTTTTAGATAATCAATGGCTTTTTTCATTATGGAGAGAATTATCCATAAGTTCTGGGTAATGTATGGCAGTATTTAATTGATAATGTCTTTCCCAATATATACTCTGTTTTCTTTTTCTAAAATTCATGTTGGGTGAATTTTTTAATTGTCTTCACATTATGGACCATATCTTTGCCTTTTTGCCCTACCTCATAGGGGATTTCCTTAACTTTACATTTTATTGAACTTATCAATTTAATTTACAATTGCTCATATTCTTTTGTGTTCTCTGGTCAATCTTCTATTTGATAGCATCCTTTTATGTTTTATGGTTATATCAGAATATATTAATTATAGTCTTGTAAACGTTTCTTCTGCTGTTTATCTTACCTCTTTTCCTTCAGAATTACACTTTGTTCTGATTCTTTGAGTCTCATTTGATGGAGAATTTCTTCAATTGTCTGGTCAACCTTTGATTCAATTCATACTTAAGAGTAGGCACTAAAACGATCAGAAAGCTCTATGCGTGTTGGAAAAGGTCTGGAGAATCATGCATTTCACAGTAGAGGGATTGGATGCCCAGGTAGCTATTTTGTTCAGATCTCCAGTTGCTGCCCCTGACACAGTGATGATCCTTCTGAAGAACCCTTCATTTTCCTGATCTGAGAATGTCATCTTCATTATTGGTGTTGGGAAGATTTAGGGTCTTATTTTAATAGAGAAAGCTGGGCTTTGCAAGTGGTTGTCCTGCTGTAAGTGGCAGAGTTAGAATGAAATCTACAGCTTCTCATTCCCAAGTCTGCACAACACTCCAAAGAAGTGACTGCCCCAACTTACAAATGCAGCCAACCTCAAGGTAAATTTGTACCACTTAGTTTTGTCACTTAAACTATTGCATATACATATTGCACAGTATAAATACATGCAATACTATCAAATTTTATATAAACTCATACATATCCTTTTGCAAAAGTCTAGTTTAAACATTACCAAATCAGGGATAGCTGTCTCCATACACAACTGAAACAAATTTGAGAGATGTAAGATTACCTGTTCTCTCTGCAGGAGGAAAATATAGGCCTCACAAAGATGTTTACATCTTAATTCCCAGAACCTGTGTTTTATGTTAAATTACATGGCGAAGGGCAATTAAGTTTGCTAATAATTTGGCCTAAAAATAGAGAGAGTTTCCTGGATCTAATATCAAGGTAAATGACAGGAAATGGCACATAGAGCTTTCTATCTTATAATGTGCTTTTGTATCTCAATGCCTTTTTCCCCTTTCAGAGCATACATTACTCAAAGACGGAAAATATGTGTGTGCTTTTTTTATTTCTGTGAAGTATGCTGATTGGTATTTTGTTTGGGATTGCATTAAATCTGAAGATCATTTTGATTAGTATGGCCACTTCCACAATATTAATTGTTCCAATCCATAAACATAGAGTATCTTTTCATTTATTTGCATCTTTTTCAATTTCTTTTATCAATGTTTCATAGTTTGCAGTATTAGAGATCTTTTATCTCCTTGGTTAAGTTTATTCCTAAGTATTTTATTCTTTTTTGGTTATTGTAAATGAAATTGTTTTCTGAATTATTTTTCATATAGTTCACCATTAGCATACAGAAATGCTACTAATTTTTGTACATTGATTTTCTATTCTGCAACTTTACCAGATTTATTCTAACAGTTTTTTGTTGAAGTCTTTAGAGTTTTCTATAAATAAGATCATGTCATCCGAAAAGATGAACAATTGACTTCCTTCTATTCAATTTCAATTTGTTTAGTTTCTATCTCTTGCCTAGTATATCTAGCTAATACTTTTAATACTATGTTGAATAGGAGTGATGAAAGTGAACATCCTTATCTTTATCCTAATCTTAGAGGAAATCTTTCACCTTTCCTTATTCTGCATGATGTTACTTGTGGGTTTGTCATATATGGCCTTTTTGTGTTGAGGTACATATCTTGTGTGTCTAATTTCTTGTGAGCTTTTCTTATGCAGGGATATTGAATTTTATAAAATACTTTCTCTGTGTCTATAGAGATGATCATATGGCCTTTGTCCTTCATTTTGTTAATAGGGTGCATCACATTTATTGATTTGTATATGTTGAATAAAACCCACTTGATCATAGTGAATGATCGTTTTCATGTGCTGCTGCGTTCACTTTGCTAAAATCTTGTTGAATTTTTGCATTGATATTCATCAGGGATGTTGGCTTGTGGCTTTTTTATTTGTTGTATCTTTGGTTTTGGAATCAGGGTAATGCTGGCTTTGTAAAATGCGTTTGGAAGTATTACTTCCTCTGCAATATCTGGAATTGTTTCAGGATAATTAGTATCAATTCCTCTTTAAATGTCTGGTAGAATTCAGCAGTAAAGCTATCAATCCTGATTTTTAAAAATTGATACATAATGTTTGTACATATTTATGGGACACATGATATTTTGTTATAAGCATATAGAATGTATAATGATCAAGTTAGGGTATCTGTCATCTTGAGTATTTATCATTTCTATGTTTGGGGAACTGTTCAAGTCCTTTCTTCTAGCTATTTTGAAATATTGTTAAACATAGTCACCCTAATCTGTTATCAAATATTTGAATTTATTCCTTCTAACTGTATGTTTGAACCCATTAATGAACCTCTCTTCATACTTGTCCTCCTGCCTCACAAACACTGGTCCATCTCTTGTAGCCATTATTCTATTCTCTACCTCTGTGTGATCAACATAAGTGAGAACATGCACTGTTTGTTTTTCTGTGCCTGGCTTATTTCCCTTAACATAATGCCCTCCAGTTCCATCCATGTTGCTACAAATTACATGATTTTATTCTTTTTTTATGGCTGAATAGTATTACATTGTGTATATATACCACTGTTTTTTTTTAATCCATTTGTCCACTGACGGACACTTAGGTTGATTCCATATCTTTGCTATGGTGAATAGTGCTGCAGTCAACATTTGAATATAGGTATCCCTTTGATGTCCTCATTTCTGTTTCTTTGGATAAATAGCCAGAAGTGAAATTGCTGGATCATATGGTCATTCCATTTTTAGTTATTTTGAGAAATCTCCATATTGTTTCCATAGTGACTGTACTAATTTACATTCCCACCAACGGTATGTAAGAGTTTTTCCTTGAATCCTCACCAGCATCTGTTTTTTTTTTCTTTTTAATAATACCCATTCTAACTGGAGAAGGATGATATTGTGTTTTTAATTTGCATTTCCCTGATGATGAGTGATGTTGAGCATTTTTTATATACCTACTGGACATTCGTATACTTTTTTTTGAGACATGTCTAAAGTGCAGTTAAAATCCAATGTTTATTTCTTAATTTTCACTCTGGATTATGTGTCTAAGGCTGAGAATGGGGCATTGAAGTCCCTCACTATTATTCTGTTGGAATCTATCTCCCCCTTTATGTCTAATAATATTTGCCTTATATATCTGGGTGCTCCAGTGTTGTTTGAATATTTAGAATTGTATTATCCCTCTTGCTGAATTGATCCCTTTATCTTACATGATGACCTTTTTTGTGTCTTTTTGCTGTTTGCAAATTAAAAATTAAAATCTGTTTTATCTGATACAAGTATAGTACTTCTCACTTTTTGTTTCTATTTGCATAGAATATCATTTTTCATCCCTTCACTTTAAGTCCATGTGTCTTTACAGAGAAATTTACTTTATTATTGGCAGCATATACTTGTGTCACGCTTTTTAAAATCCATTAAGCCAGTCTATATCTTTAAACTGAAAATTTTAGTTCATTTACCATCAAGCTTATTACTACCGGAGGATTTATTCTTGTCATTTTATTAATTGTTTTCTGGTTATTTCATATGTCCTTTTACCTTTCTATATTTTTTATTGTTTATAATTGTCATTTGTTGATTTTATGTAGTGGTAAAATTTGAATCCTTTCTCTTTTTCATTTGTGTATTTGGTTTACCAGTGAGTTTTATACTTGTGTGTGTTTTTGTGATGGACCATATTGTCTTTTTGCTTTAAAGTATAGAATTTCCTTCAGGATTTCTTGTAGGACCAGTGTAGTAGTGATGAATTTCCAGTTTTTCTTGTTTAGGAACGCCATTATTTCTACTTCATTTTTGAAGAATAGCTTTGCTGGAAATAGTATTCTTGGCTGATAAGATTTTTTTTGTTTCAATACTTTGAATATGTCATCTCATTCTCTCCTGGCCTGTAAGGTTTCTTCTGACAAATTCGTTGTTAATCTAATGGAGGTTCCCTTTTATATGACTTATATATCTTTTAAATGGGGAATTTAATTTGTTTACCTCAGGGTTATTATTCACATGTGAGGTTTTGGTTTTTCTATATTGCTCATTGTTTCCTGGTTGTTTTATATGTCCCTTTCTTCCTTTCTTCCTCTCTTATTGTTTATCATTTCTTTTAGTTTTCTGAAATAATAAGGCTTGATTCTCTTTATTCTTTGTGTGTCTTCTCTAACAGTGAGTATTTATGTATTTTCAAAATAGTGATTATCATCTGTTTGCTTCTAGATGTAGAACTCCCTTGAGCACTTGTTGTAAGGTTAGTCTAAAGCTTTTGCTTATCTGTGAAAGATTTTATTTCCTCTTTATTTATGAAGGATAACATTTCTGAGTATAGTATGTATGACTGAAAGTGTTTCTTCCAGAACTTTGAATATTCCATACTATTCTCTCCTAGCCTATAAACTTTCTGTTGATAAATTCTCTTTTGATCTGGTGATAGTTCCCTTACATATGACTGGATGCTTTTCTCTTTTTAATAATTTTTATCTTTGAAGTTTTTTTTTAATTTTAATTTTGCTTTAGTTGCCAGTGCTTGTGAGGTATTACTCAAGAAATCTTTGCCCACTATGGTGTTCTGGAGAGTTTCCCCAAAGTTTTCTTGTTGTAATGTTGTAGTTTTGCCAACGGACCCAGATAGCAGTCTCTTATTGTCTGAGATAATATCTGAAGTTCTTTGTCCTACGTCCAAGATGATTGAGAAGCACAGACACAATGTGAGGTTAAAGCATAAGTTTAACAAACAAAAGAAGAAAGCTCTCTGCCAGCGGAAAGAGGGACCCAAATGGATTGCCCTCTATGAGGCTGGGGTCCAGGGTGTTTATGGACTGGGAAGGGGAAGGAATGCACTTAGTCCATGGGCTGTCTTGGAGAACTTGTGACTCAGCTTGGCCCAGGGCCTTGGCTCTGGACCAATCAGGAGCTGAAACGATGGTTCATAGAGGCCAGGCTCACAGTCCAAACATGTCTGTTTCTATGCCAGTGTCATGCCATTTTGGTTACCATAGTTCTGTAGTATTTAAGACAATTTAAAGTCAGGTAATGTGATTCCTCCAAATTTGTTCTTTTTGCTTAGGACAGCTTTGGCTATTCTGAGTCTTTTGTGGTACCATATGAATTTTAGAATTGTATTTTCTGTTTCTGTGAAGAATGTCATTGATACTTTGATAGGGATTGCATTGAATCTGCAGAGTGCTTTGGGTAGTATGGACATTTTAACAAAACTGATTCTTCCAATCCGTGAACATAGAATGTCTTTCCATTTTAGTGTGTTATCTTCAATTTCTTGCACCAATGTTTTATACTTTTATACTTTTCATCTTTCACTTCTTTGGTTAATTCCTAGGTATTTTATCTTACTTGTAGCTATTGTAAATAAGAATACTTTCTTGATCTTTTTCAGACTGTTCCCTGTGGGCATATAAAAATGTTACTGAATTTTGTATGTTGATTTTGTATCCTGAAATTTTACTGAATGTTTCTATCAGTTCTAATACATTTTTGTGGAGTCTTTATTTTTTTCCAAACATAAAGTTTCATCATCTGCAAACAAAGATAATTTGACTCCTTCCTTTCCATTTTGGATGCTCTCTTTTCTTTTCCCTCCCCTCCCCTCCCCTCCCCTCCCCTCCCCTCCCCTGCCCTCCCCTGCCCTCCCCTCCCCTTCCCTCCCCTTCCCTCCCTTTCCCTTCCCTTCCCTTCCCTTCCCTTCCGTTCTCTTTTCTTTCATCTGATTGCTGTAGTTAGAACTTCCAGTACTATGCTGAATAACAATGATGACAGTGAGCATCCTTGTCATGTTCCAGATCTTAGAGGAAAGCTTTCAGTTTTTCCCCATTCAGTATGATATTAGGTGTGGGTCTGTCATATATGGTTTTAATAATGTTGATGCATTTTCCTTCTATGCCCAGTTTTTGATGATTTTTATCATGATGGAATGTTGAATTTTATCAAATGATTTTCATTATCTATTGCAATGCATATTAGTTTTGTCCTTCCTTCTGTTTATATGATTTATCAACATTCATTGGTTTGCACATGTTGAATTATTCTTGCATCCATGGGATAAATGCCACATAGTAATGATGAATTGTATTTTTAATGGGCTGTTGCATTCTGTTTGCTAGCATTTTGTTGAGAATTTTTGTATCAATGTTCATCCAAAATATTGGCCTGTATTTTTTTTAATGTGTCTTTGTCTAGTTTTCATATTAGGGTAATATTCACCTCACCAAATGAGTTTGAAAGTATTCCTTCCCTTTCTATTTTTCAGAATAGTTTGAGAAGGATCAGTATTAGTTCTTCTTTAGATATTTGGTAAAATTTAGCATTGAAGTCATCAGGTCCTGGTCTTTTGTTTGCTAGGACAGTTTTTATTATGGCTTTGATCTCATCACTTGTTATTTGTCTATTCAGGTTTTTGGATTTCTGTATAGTTCAATCTTGGCAGGTTACATTTGTCTAGGAATTTATCAGTTTCTTCAATTTATTAGCATATAGTTGCTCACAGTAGTCTCTAATAATCCCCTGAATTTCTGTGGTGTAGGTTGTAATATCTCCTTTTTCATCTCTAATTTTATTTATTTGGGTTTTCTCTCTTGTTTTCCTGGTTAGTCTGTCAAAAGGTTTGTCAATTTTGTTCATCTTCTCAAAAAACAAACTTTTTGTTTCATTCTTCTGTTGTATTTTTTAATTTTAATTTCATTTATTTATGCTCTAGTCTTTATTTCTTTTTTCTACTAATTTCGGGTTTGGTTTGCTCTTGCTTTTCTAGTTCTTTAAGATGCATCATTAGATTGTTTATGTGAAGTTTTTTTATTTTTTGATGTAGGCACATATAGCAATAATCTTCCTTCTTAGTACTGCTTTGGGGCTTACGGATAGGCTTATGTGCTTCTCTTCATAGCAGCAAGATCCCTTAGCTCCAGGCAGGTCCAAAAATGCTGTCCAGGAGCCACGGACCAGAGTCCAAAACTTTGGAAATTTACCTTGTGTTCTATTGTACTGCTGTTAAGCTGGCACTCAAACCAGTAGATGCAATTCTTCCCATTCTAATCTTCCCTTTTCATATGCAGGCACCTTGCCCCCTGGCCACCATCACCACAAGCCTATGGGAATATTCTCAGGCTACCACTGATGCTCACTTAAGGACCAAGGGCTCTTCATTCAGCCTGTGGTGAATAATGCTGCCAGATCTAGGACTCACCTTTTATAGTGGTGGGCTCCCCGTCTGGACCAGAGCAGGTCCATAAATGCTGTCCAAGAGCCAGGGCCTGGAATTGGGGACCTCAAGAGCCCACTTGGTGTTATACTTCTCTGTGGCTGACCTGGTACCTAAGGTTCAAGACAAAGTCCCCTTTACTTTTTCTCTCTGCTTTTCTCAGGCAGGAGGAATCTCTGACCATACCCACCACAGCTAGGAATGTGTTGGGTCTCACTGGAAACCAGCACATCTCAGAGTCTCACTCAAGGCCCACAGCATACTACCTGGATATCACCGCTTGTTATTCAAGGCCCAAGTGCTCTTTAATCAGCAGGTGATTGGTTCTTTCATTACTTGGCTCTTCCTTTCAATGCAGTAGGTTTCCTTCCAGCCCAGTGTGTGTCTAGAAATGTCATCTGGGAGCTAGAGTCTGAAATCAGGGCTTCATGACTCTGACCAGAGCTCTATCCTACTGAGGCTAAGCTGGTATCCAAGATGCCAGACAAAGTCCTCCTCACTCTTCCTTCTCCTCTCCTCATGTGGAAGGAAGTGGTCTCTTTTGGAGCCATAAGCTGTGTAGCTGGGGGTTGAGGGAGGGATGGCCCAAGTACTGCTTTAGCCACCCCAGCTGATGTTTCAGTAGGTCATGTACCCACCGCCCCCACCAGTCTACTTGCCCTGAGCCCAGCTGAGCACTAGGACTCACCTAGGATTTGTAGTCCTTGTGGCCTAGACTGCCTTTCAAATTTATTTAGAGACCCAGACTACTTTAGCCTACAGTGACAAGGCTTGCCAGAACTCAAGTTCTGGCTGCTGGAATGTACAGTTCTCTTCTGGCTAGGGCTGGTCTATATGCTCCCTCTGTGGGTGGACATCAGCTGAGTTCACCCCGGTTTTGCCTTCCATTGTCACAAGGCAGCACTGATTTCAATGCGAAGTTTCAAAATCACCACACTTTCCCTCCCCAAGTCTACAGATTCTCCATTCTATGTAGTTGCTGCTGGGTTAAGACAAGGGTGGCGATGGCAATTCAAGACTGTCTTTCCTACCCTCTTCAGTACCTCTTTCAGTAATATGAAGTTAAAAGCAGGTACTTTGAGTGATCACCTGATTTTTGGTTCTTATGGAAGTGCTTTGATTATGTAGGCAGTTGTTAAATTTGGTGTTCCTGTGGGTGGGATGATTGGTGGAGCCTTCTATTCCACCATATTGCTCTGCCACTTCTATAGTGTTTTTCTCTTTGACTTTTGACAGTTTGAGTATAATGTGACATGAAGAAAATATTTTTGGGTTGTATCTATCTAAGCTTCCTGTATCTAGGTGTTTAACTCTCTTGCTAGACTTGAGAGGTTTTCTTCTATTATTTCATTATATAGGTTTTTTATGTTTTTGCCTTTCATTTTGCCTTTGGGAAAAACCCAAATTCAAAAATTTGGTTGCTTTATGGCATCCCATATGTCATGTAGGATTTGTTCATCTTTTTCACATTTTATCCCTCTTTTTTTGTCTGACTGGGTTATTTAAAATATTTGTTTTCAAGTTCTGATATTCTTTCTTCTCACTGACCTATTCTATTTTTGAAGCTTTCAGATGTATTTTTCTTTCATTTATTGATTTATTTATCTCCAGCGTTTCTGTTTGATTCTTTTTTATGATATCCATTTCATTGTTGAATTTCTCTTTAATATCCTGAAATGGTTTTCTGGTTTCTTTCTATTTTTTACCTGTGTTCTCTTCTATCTCACTGAGCTCCATTAGTATCATTTTTTAAATATTTTCCCCAACATTACATAAATTTCTTTTTCATTGGAATCTACTGCTGGAGGAGTATTGTGTTGATTTGGAGGTGTCATATTTTCTTGCTTTTTCATGTTTCCTGTGTCCTTACATTGATGTCTGCGCATCTGGTGAAATAGTTGCTTCTTCTGTTTTTTAAATTGGCTTTCATAGGGGAAGATTTTTGTATCAGTCCATTCTCACATTGCTATAAAGAAATACCTGAGAGTGAGTAATTTATTTTTCAAAAAAAGGTTTAATTGGCTCATGGTTCCGCAGGCTGTACAGGAAGCATAGAAGCATATGCTTCTGGGGAAACCTTAAGGAGCTTTTACTTGTGGCAAAAGGCAAAGCTGGAGCAGGAGTCTTACATGGCAGGATCAGGACCAAGTGGGGGCGAGATGCAACACACTTTTAAACAACAAGATCTCATGAGAACTTACTCACCATCATGAGAACAGCAGTGAGAGAATAGTACTAAACCAGTTATGAAGAATCTGCCCTCATGATCCAGTCACCTCCCAACATGCCAGTCTTCCCCAACACTGGGGATTACAATTCAACATGAGATTTGGGTGGGGACACAGATCCAAACCATGTCATTCAGCCCATCACTACTCCCAAATCTCATGTCCTTCTCACATTTCAAAATACAATCATGCCTTCCCAAGAGTCCCCCAAAGTCTTAAATCATTTCAGCATTAGCTCAAAAGTCGAAAGTCCAAAGGCTGATCTCAGACAAGGCTAGTCTCTTTCACCTATGAGCCTGTAAATTCAAAAAACAGTTACTTCCAAGATACAAGGGGAGTACAAGCATTGGGTAAACACTCCTGTTCCAAAAAAGAGAAAGCTGTAAAAAGAAAGGGGCTACAGACCCCATGCAAATCTGAAACCAGCAGGGAAGTCATTAAATCTTAAAGCTGCAAAATAACCTCATTTGACTTTCTATGTTTCACAACCAGGCATACTGATGGAAGGGGTGGGTTCCCAAGGCCTTTTCAGTTCCACCCCTGTAGCTTTGCAGGGTTCATTTCCCACAGCTTCTCTCAAGGGCTGACATTGAGTGCCTGCAGCTTTTCCAGGTGCATGGTGCAAGCTGCCAGAGGATCTGTCATTCTGGGGTCTGCATGATGACAGCTCTCTTCTCACAGCTCCACTAGGCAGTGCCCCAGTGGGGACTCTGTGTAGGGGTTCCAACTCCACATTTTCCCTTTGCACTGCCCTAGTAGAGGTTCTCTGTGAGGGCACTGCCTCTGCAGCAGGCTTCTGCCTGGACATTTAGGCTTTTCTGTAGATCCTCTGAAATCAAAAGAGAGGCTCCCAAACCTCAACTCTTGCACTCTGCACACTCACAGACTTAACACCACATGGAAGCTGCCAAAGCTTATGGCTGGCATCCTCTGAAGCAGCAGCCCAAGTTGCAGCTGGACCCCTTTGAGCCACAGCTGGAGCTGGAGCAGCTGGGATGCAGGAAACAGTGTTTGGAGGCTGTGCAGGTCAGTGGGGCCCTGCGCCTGGACCAGGAAACCATTCTGCCCTCCTAGGACTCCAGGCCTGTGATGTGGGTGTGGCTACGAAAGTCTCTGAAATGCCTTCAATGTCTTTCTCCCATTGTCTTGGCTGTTAACATTTGGTTATTCTTTACTCATGCAAATTTCTGCAGCTAGGGTAAATTCTTCTCTAGAAAATGGGAATTTTTTTTCTACCACATGGCCAGGCTGCAAGTTTTCCAAACTTTTACACTCTGCTTCCCTTTTTAATACAAATTTGAGTTTTAGCTCATTTCTTTGCTTAGGCATATGAGCTTAGGTTGTTAGAAGCAGCCAGGTCATATTTTGAACACTTTGCTGCTTAGAAATTTCTTCCACCAGATACCCTAAATCATCACTCACAAGTTCAAAGTTCCACAAGTCCCTAAAGGAGGGGAACAATGCACCCAGGCTCTGTGCTAAAGCATAACAAAAGTGACTGCTCCAGTTGTTCCCAATAAGTTCCTTATTTTTATCTGAGATCTCCTCAGCCCAGACTTCATTTTCCATATCAGTATTAGCATTTTGGTCACAATTTACAAGTTTTTAGGAAGTTCCAAATTTTCCCTTATCTTCCTGTCTTCTGAGTCCTCCAAACTCTTCTAACCTCTGCTCATTACCCATCTCCAAAATCGCTTCCACATTTTTAGTATCTTTATAGCAATGCCCTACTCTTCGGTACCAATTTTCTGTATCAGTTCATTCTCACATTGCTATAAAGAAGTACCTGAGAGTGGGTAATTTATGAAGAAAAGAGGTTTAATTGGCTCACAGTTTCATAGGTTGTACAGGAAGCATAGTGACATCTGCTTCTGGGGAGGCCTCAGGGAGCTTTTGCTCATGGCAAATGGCAAAGCAGGAGCAGGCATCTTACATAGCAGGAGAAGGACTGGGTGGGGGGGAGGTGACACACACTTTTAAACAAGCAAATCTCATGAGAACTCACTCATTGTCATAAGAATAGTACGCAGGGGATGGTGCTAAACCATTCATGAAGGATCCACCCCCATGATCCAATTACCTCCAATGAAGCCCCTCCCCCAACATTGGAGATTATAATTCAACATGAGATTTGGGCAGTGACATAGATCCAAAACATTAACTTTTCTTTCTGAAGATGTATCTGTGGTGTTGATTCAGTAGGACACTTTGGCTTTGATTCTGTGTGTGTACAGTAAGGTGGTCTTATATTATTCCTTCAGCTATTAACAGCATAAGTGGTGTCTGTGACTTCCTCAGTGGCTTAGGCTGTAGTTGTGATTGGAGGCTGTAGTGAGGTTTTCCTGGGGACAGAGATTTTAGGTGGGCCAGTTCTTGGGCCCCAGTAGGGGTAACAGTGGGCTGAGAGTGCCTATATTTGGCACCTAGGCAACATATGTTTGTACCAGTTTTAGCAGCTTTAAGCAGAACAATTCTGGGGGCTTTAAGTAGCTTACCTGGGTACTAGCAGTTGCAATGGTAGGCTGAAAGGGTGGGTGGGCCTTTAGGCCTCTGGGAATGTGCTTGCCATGGGCAATTTCTGTAGCTTGGTTGGACAACCCTCAGATTCTCAAGTTGCAAGCTCTGGTGTTAGAGGTGGTTGTGATGGGCTGGGGGCCAGTCTCCAGACCTTCAGATGTTGCATGCATATTGTTTCTGGCTACAGTGCTACTGTCAGGCTGGTTGGGCCCATTCTCAGTCCTCCTAAAGGAATGTGCAAATGCCAGTGGTGGTGGACAAAGCAGGATGATTGCCACACCCCTGGGTAGTGTGCCTGGGCACTGGGATGATGGAACCAGGCTTGGCAGGCCTGTCCTCAGTCCCCCTAGTTATGTACATGGATGTTGGCTGTGGTAAGTTGGATGGGGTAATCCTTGGATCTCCCAATAGCAGGAGCAATACCTGAAGAAAGCCTGTCCTCGAGGCACATGCAAATTTGCTGCAGCTGTGCTGCTAGGGCAGGGTGTGGTTATTGTCAGTGGCAGCAGCCACTAGCAGGCAGCTCTCTGGCAATGTGGAGCACACTTTGGCTTCTGGCAGCAGCATAAGCCAGTCCTCAGGGTACGTGCAAGTTCACAGTGGCTCTGCTGCTGGTGGAAGTCAGGTCACTGCCAGTGGCACATGCTCTGGCCCCCAGCTGCATCAGCAGACTCAGCAGCAGATGGAGAGGGCCTGTCCCCAGGTTGCATGCAAGTGTGCAGCATCTCTGCTGCTGTGTTGCGGGGGTGACATTGCTGTCTGTGTCAGCAGCCACAGGGAGGCAGCTCTCTGGTTCTGGAAAGCATGTGCTTTGGCTCCCTATGTCTGGTTCACAGCCTTTCCAGTGCCTGAGGTGCAGAACACTGCATATGCTAGAATGCTGAGGATCCTGCCACTTTGCTGGGTCCAACTGGCATTTCACTGCTGCAGCCCCCGGTGGTGACAGCAGCAACTGTGCCACCAGCAGCAGTGGGAAGAGCCTTTTCTCAAGGTGTGTGCACTTACATGCACTGCTGTCTTCCTGCTGGGTGGGCGGGTTGCTGTCAGTGCTCACAGGTGTAGCAGGGCCATCCATCTCTGCAGAGTCCCATCTGAGGAGGCAGGGTCACTGCAGGACCAATTATTAGACCATGCACAAACTCAGAGTTGTTGTGGCCCAAGCAGGCTGTAGTCCTGGGGGTGGGCCCACCACAGGACCAGTTTTCAGGCTGGGCACCAGCATGCACAGGCTCAGCAGACTAGCTGGTTGTGAGGTGTGGGTGCATGTGGGTGTCGTGGCTAGTAGGCAGATGGGTGGCTTCCCTGCTGTTCACTTCTTCCCTGGATTGGTGGTGCACCACATGGGTTCGGATGCCGGGGTCTTGATTAGTTTATCTGGCTAGGCTCTGGGAAGCTAGGGTCATGGTGCTGCAGATACCTGTATGAATGTGTTGGAATGATGGTGGGGCCTCAAGTGATAGAGAGCCAGGTGCTACTGATGCTCAAAGCAAGACACACTCTCTATGTAGGTTCAGTTTGGAGATGGCACTGAGCCATAGCACCTTACATTGCAGGGGCAGAGGGTGCTCAAGGTGGTCTCTTACTATGTAAGGCAATGCAGTTTGGAAATCCCAACTGCTCTCCAGACTGGTTTTTGTGCCAGTGAGAACAGTGGGGCAAAGATTGTTGACATTTTTTATGGCAATGTGGACCACTGGGGAACTACAGCTTACTTTTTCCTGTAGAATGGAGTTACTGATGACCCTGAGCCAACCTTGACTGAAGAGAGAGTATGTCAGAGGCAGGATGCTATATTGAGTTTCTGTACTTCACAGAGGTGTTTCTGTTCCCCTGGTGGTCTCCAGCATACTTTTTAAATCACACTGGCTGACATAAAATTGTTTGTTTTCTTGATTTCTTTTTGTGGGGAAATGAGTGCCAGGGAACTCTAGTCAGCCATCTTGCTGATGTTCTAAATTCTATTTTTAAAAGATCACTCTGGCTGTTGTAAGGAGAACTGCTTGGGATGTGGTGAGGGGCAGGAATGTCACCAAGATCAGCTGGAGACTGTTGAAAGTCCTCCAGGAGGGAGAATCATGGCTTGACTCAGGACCTTCTGATAGAGATTATGAAACTGATCATATATGGGATATCTTTTGAAGGTAGAACCAATTGGATTTGCTAAGGGCAGTACACGGAGGAGACTAAACAATCAAGAGTGACACTTATGTTTTTGAATGGTTGAGTGAAACAAATGTCATGAACTGAGAAAAGATTGTGAGGTGTTATCAGCTAAATTGTGTTCCCTCCAAACTCTCATGTTGAATCCCTTACCCCCGATACCACTGAATGTGACTCTATTTGCAGCATGGCCTTTAAAGAGGTGATTAGGTTAAAATGAAGCTGATAGGGTTGGTGCTAATCCCATCTGACACCTGTCCTCATAAGAAAAGAACATTAGCACAGACCACAGAGGGGTACCAGGGATGCACGTCTACAGATAAAACCCCATGTGAAGATACAGCAAGAACCGGCCATCTAGAAGTGAAGGAGACAGGGCCTCAGAAGACACCAAACCTGTTGACACCTTAATCTTGTACTTCAAGCTCCAGAACTATGAGAAAGTAAATTTCTGTTGTTTAAGCCACTTGTGGGGCATTTTTTTAGGGTAGCCATAACAAATTAGTATGAAGGAGAGCAGGTTTTAGGAAGTAGAAATCAAGAATTATATTAGGGGTATGTTAAGTTTTCATCTGTTGTAAAAGGCAAGTGGATTGCTGAGAGTGTCCACTCACCTACAAGTGCCTAAGCTCCTGCTGCAGTCCTGCTTCTCGATTTGACCCCACCCTCACTCACTGACAGTGTCTGTTTCAGCTCCTCCGTCACCTCTGTTGTGGTTGTGTGTGGTGAGATCATAGCTGATGTTTATTATTTCCTGATACATTAATCTCTTTCTCTCATTGCTTACACTGGAGAATGTCAGGGTAAGGGTCTGAGCTGAGTGATATTTGCAGGCATCACCTGTTGTCTTCCTGCACTCACCAGCCAAGGAGAAGCCTGCCTTCCACCAGGACTGCAGTTTCCTCAGCCACCCACACAGTGAATCATGTCTGCATGGCACGCCCCTCTGCTCCTTCTCGCTGACCTTCCTTTCCTACCTGATGGTCTACCATAAGCCACCTAGGCAGAACTACTTATCTCCACTTCCCATGTTAAACAGTGTCTGGTGAAATCAGAGGCAGCAATCCTAGTAACACAGCTGGGTCTGTAGGCCCAAACAACTACTCTCTCTCACCCATAAAACCCTAAAGCACAGCTAGAACTCTTCTGCTTCCCACATAGAGAAGAATTGCTAACTCATAATATATTTCACCTTCAAAATATGTCCATAATTATGCCAGAGAAAATATTTATTTTTTGGTCACTTTGCCAAAGTAAAGTTATCCATAACAAACACCATTGATTAGAAAATCTTCCTGTAATATTACCTCCAACCCTTCAGAATTGCCAGACCAGACCTTCATCTGCACAGCACAGGATCCACTTATCCACAATGGTCAAGAGGCCTGTCTTTAAGATTTCCAGTCACATTCCCCCGACCCTGTCATACTTCCAACCAAGCTATCCTCAAATTATCACCAGCCCTGTACAAAAATGTAACAATAATACGAGACCTATACAATGCCTGTAATGAAAAGTGGCAGCTGGTGATACTGATTGATCTAGGGGTTCCATGAAAATATAAGCAGAAAACTACTAGATAGGACAGAAAAATCAGCAGGTGAAGATTAAGCTACCAACTCAGGACCCTACCAAACTTTTCAGAAACACAAAACCTTGGTGCCAAATTTTAAAAACAAAAAAGAAGAAAGCAAGCAAAGAGAAGTACAGAACCTTGTTTAGAAAATCAAATAAAGATTTCTCCCAGAACGCATGAAGAAAGCAGTAAGATATAAAACATAGACATAGGGAGGATTGATTCACAATATAACATATCAACAAGTAAGGTTCAGCACAAGAGTGAAGAAGAATGAGTATAAGAATATTGCAGAGAAAATAATCTTTGGTAAAGGCAATCTGAGAAGCAAATAGAATGGAAACTAATTAAAAAATAGAAAATCAATGTAATACTTGAGGCTTTCAACAGGCTATCATACTATCTAATTAGATTGTATTATTGTGTCCACTCAATAACCAGTGTGATTAAAATATTTGGTACAAGAAGTAAGACCTAAACTGAATCATATAGAACATTCTAGAAAAGAGAAAGATCATGGAAGAAGTCTTAGGGACATAAAATAGCATGGCTTGTTCAAGGAACTGTGTATTCACACTGTTCTGATGCAGAAATCTAATGGTGCTTTCTGTGGCCAATTTTGCCTTACTAACCTCCAGGGTATTAATAAAGATAGAATGTTTTAATACCTGTGTTCTACAACAATAAAGTATCTCTGGTTAATGCTAGATTAGGAGAATCTTAATCTCTTTGGGCCAGAGTAGCCTGAGGGTAAAACTTCTGTCATCCACGTGTGCCCAAGTGTGTGTTGTCCTCACACAACTCAACATTAAACAGAAATGATCTCTATATTATTATGAAATTAAGCTACATATCATCCATATAGGTATATATGCTATAAAAATGGAATTTATGCTACACTAATAGCTAGAGATATTAATCATTTTCACTTCTGGCTATAAGATCACTGCTGACAAACATATACAAACGTAAGCACGTGTGCACACAGACAACCAATGAAGGGGAAAGACTAACTGTCTAACCCAATTGAAAATCAAATGATGACCAAACTTCAATTGTAGTATTTGTGCTGATTGCTTGGATACTGTTTCTTCAGAAACTATGCTCAAGTCACAGTTTGTACCTAACCACATCCTACCACCACATCCTGCTGGGCTAAAATCCCAAAAAGTAATAAGAGACGCATTCAACTTTATGAGAGGAAAGCAAAACCTAATCTTTCAGGTGGTGAGGTCCACCCAGTATGGAGCTCAAAGGTGCCATTGTTCTGCTCATGTTTATAAAGGGAGCTGCCATGTTTCTCTCAACGCAGAGTTGGGAGCAACTCCAGAGCCTCCTTCAAGATGCTGCTGGTCCTGCTCTCAGTGGTCCTTCTGGCTCTGAGCTCAGCTCAGAGCACAGATAATGGTAAAAAAATTATTTTTTTAAAAAAGGAGATGGGGAGTGGGATGAGGGGCCATGACTCTTCTAGGGCCTCAGGGGTTCACCCTACACCACTGCAGCGGAAGAGCAGGAGGGGAGGAAGGAGGTTGAGAAGAAGGGTAGGGCTTTGGAGCTCTCATTCCAAGGATGACATCTGTTGTGCCCTCATTCCATGCCAAGGCCTTATACTTTATTTGATATACACTTGGAACCCAATAGAGAATTTCAATTAGAGGAATGACAAAGTAAGATTTGTATTTTTAGAAAGACCTGGCTGTGCTGTGAAGGATGCAGTGGAGAATGCAAGACTGATCCAGGGAAGTCCAGCTATGAAGATGCTACAGTAATCTCAGTGGACAGCGATGATGGTGTCCTTGCTGTACAGGGGATGCAGAATCAATGAAAGAGATAAACAAACATCAGAGTACTGTCAGACATAGAGGACTGGATAATACATTTGTGTCTTTCTACATAGTGGTATAGAAATATCAGGTCCCCAAATTCCCATTTTTCTTCCAATCACATTTAAAATTTCAATATGTTGCAGGCAGCATGTGTAAGATTATATCCAAATATTTACTCCTGGTTGCTCCTCTTGGGCAAGCTTGTGAATATGATCAAAATATTTAAAGAAGGAAGAAGGTAAAGATCTAAAATATGACATGAAAATACCCAGAGAAGTGTGCCTAAATTAGCATTAGGGTTTGAGGGATCCTAAGGATGACAAAAAGGGACTCTTCTATTGAATTCGTGGTTGATGCTCAGCGATAGTAACAATCCTGCCTCCCCTAACATCTTCCTCCCCTTCCAGCAGCTTCACAGAACATGGTTGATGAGGTAACTTAGGGGATGCACAGGGTGTGGCCAGAAGACCCCTTTCCCTATAGACCACTATGAGCCCTGAAAGATTTATGAGGTAATGTTCACTTCATCCTGTGCTTCTTTTCCTAGATGTGAACTATGAAGACTTTACTTTCACCATACCAGGTAAATCCCAATGATCCTCAATCCAATTCTTTTCTTTCTTTTTCCACTAGAATTTCTTTTTAGTTTCCTTCAGTGTCTTCTTCTCATCATTTTTTTGGGAGGAGGTGGTAAGAGGGGTCAGGCATTGATTAATATTAGTGCCCCTAAATATATAGGCAATTCTTACCCATCTTTGATTCTGGGGACCATGAGCCAGGCCACCAACTTGAATACAGAGATGCCTGGCTTTGAGGACAATAGGAGTGGGCAGGCTTTTTTCCCAGGCTGGAATGACTGCTGAGAGATGATGAACAAATGAGAAGTGTTCTCATTCTGACTCCTCCATCCTTAACTGCTTCTTTCTTCCCCCAGTGTTCCCCCGCACGGTTATGTGGCTTCAGGGAGTAACACAAAACAAAACAAAAAAATCACTGCATGAATGTCTTTTCTCTGTGTTGACCCACTCAGCTGTGTCACTACAGATGATAAATAGTTGCCACAGCTGTTTAGTGATCATGTGCAGGCTTTCACATTGTCTTTCTCTTCTGTCTCTTAGTATTTCTCTACTTGGTTCCAGGAGCCTGGGAAATCAGCTCTAGTTTCCACATAGGGCTTAGGTGCCCAGAGATGGAGTCACAGTTTGTAAGTCATTACAGCAACCAAAAAATAAAAATAAAAAATAACCAGTAACATAACTGAAAGCTATAATGCT
This sequence comes from Homo sapiens, assembly GCF_000001405.40. Taxonomy (NCBI): domain Eukaryota; kingdom Metazoa; phylum Chordata; class Mammalia; order Primates; family Hominidae; genus Homo; species Homo sapiens. The sequence continues at coordinate 46,386 of NW_003571050.1, read as the reverse complement.
TTTGCTTTTTTTTTTTTTTCTGTCCTTGGAGACATCCTCTGGCAACTCTAAGATATGCAAGAACCCCTCTTTTCATTTAAGGAAACATACTTGTCACAGGAGCAAATAAATGAGACTTTCCATATCACTCTTACATGGATTAAGTTGAGAGCTGCATAAAAAGAAAAAAAAAACAGTGGGCACAAAAGAAGTTGACAGTCAAGCAGCAGGTTTGGGGAGAACAGGGCTGTGTGGTAAGGTGAGAGAAGTATAAAGAGAGGAGAGTTTTTCTTCACTGAGCTCATGCATTCTTGTCCATTAATTACTCACACAGATGTAGAGGACTCAAGTCAGAGACCAGATCAGGGACCCCAGAGACCTCCTCCTGAAGGACTCCTACCTAGACCCCCTGGTGATAGTGGTAACCAAGATGATGGTCCTCAGCAGAGACCACCAAAACCAGGAGGCCATCACCGCCATCCTCCCCCACCTCCTTTTCAAAATCAGCAACGACCACCCCGACGAGGACACCGTCAACTCTCTCTACCCCGATTTCCTTCTGTCAGCCTGCAGGAAGCATCATCATTCTTCCAGAGGGACAGACCAGCAAGACATCCCCAGGAGCAACCACTCTGGTAATCTAGAATTCAGTGGCAGGTATGATTCCAGTTCATTCTCCATTAAATGCCCAAACTGCTACCATTCCCAAACTTTATCGTGTTCACAAATCAATTGGAAATATGTTGAAATTACATAATCCTGGACCCCATTTCTAAAGATTTGTATTCAGATATTCTTGGATAAGGTTGCAAGTCCTTGTATTTTTAACAAGTGGTTCAAAGAATTCTTATCTTTTGAAATACTGACCTCCCCAACTTTTTTCTTAAGATGACTTGTCTCATTAAAATGAGTTGGTAATGAGGAAGTGGGGTGTGCTCTCCCTTTGGTGCTCTGCCTCCTGTCTTTGAGTCTGCCTTCTCAAACCCAAGGACTCTCCATCTCAGGTTTCTCTCAGGTTTCCGCCAGAGGACTCTTTGCTCAGTCCTGCCTCACACTAGCCTCTCAGGTCCAGTGTCCCTGCTAAATGATACTTGAACTTGATGCTCTTATATCTTATTTAATTTTTAAAATACTTATTTTGAAATTAGTACATGCTCAAGGAAAAAAAAATCTAACTGAACAGAATGGTATGAAGCTAAATCTTAAAGTGACGCCTTATCCTACTTACCCACACCCTTCACCAAAAGTCACCACCCTTAATTTTTTGAACATCCTCCTGGAAATATTTATATGTATATAAGCATACGTCATTATTTTTCCCACAAATGACATATTATTTTATATGCAGATCTGTATTTGCTTATTTCAAATAATACATGTCTTAGACAACTTTATCATTTCACGGAGACCTATAGATCTTCTTGGTGATTTATTTGTACATTTTTCTTTTGTTGTTACAATTGTATACTATTCTCTTGTGTGACTGTACCATGATTTCCTCAGTCAACCACTGTTAATTGATATGTAGGCTTGTATTAGTTTTTCACTACTACAGGTTCAAGTTGCAGTCATTTTCATAAATATAACCTTGAATGTTTTGAACAGTAACCAAAACATAAACACCATAAAAAAATCTGTTTTCTTAATCTTGAAAGCAATAATTTACTTCAGTAATATCATCAAGGAATTAGATAAGTTTTGCCATGTTGTATGTTGTGTATAAATTTCCTTGGTTTTTTTTTTTGTTTCAGAAAATAAATAAGAAGATAACTTCCTTCAGAAAGCCATGACATTGAAATAATGTGGTCATAACTCTTTCTTCAGTATACCAATAAAATATTAATAGCATGCAATTTCTGATTGTTGCTTCTCTTTGTGGGTGTTTCTGAGTCTAGAATTTGAGGGCCATTAATACAATCTAAGAATATCTGGGACTCTTGCTCATTGATGCTTCCAGCAGGCTTCCCTCCTCCTTTATCTTAATAAAGCCAGCTGCCAAGGAGAAAGAGTTCCATTGTTCCCCTTCTGTCCTAGATTGCATAGCACAAATGCAAATTCTTAAAATTATTTTTACATCTTTCATTGATATTCTTGTAACTCTAGGAAAACAAGGAATATATAACAAATGAGAGGGAGTTGCAAGTGCTGGGGAATTCTTAAAATTTCCAAAACTATTAATCCTGGTTTCTAGGGGCATAAATGTAGTTCTAGATCTCTTCTCTATAAAACTCACTATGCTCTTTTCTCCTCTTTTTTCATTGCTCAGCTCTCTTCCTCCCTAAGTCGTTCACCATTCTTTTTAAAAACTTGAGTGGATTTCATAAAGGGTGCAGCATAATGTACTTTAAAGGGCAAGAAATTTGAGTAAAACTCTGTTCTGATTGTAAAAATTCCAGCAATATCAGTATTATTGTCAGATAATATAGACTACCAAATTTAACTCAAGTTGCTGAGGCAAAGTTGAATAGAAAATAACCCTAAGAAGCAAAAGAATTTGATATGTAACTGTCTCCAGCTACCTCTCATTATCACCTCCAATGTCGCTGAATACAGAAAATTTTAATATCTAATCTTTATCATTAAAAAGCACATAATTCTTTTTTAGATTTTTTAAGTACAGGAAACAACAAGTTTCTGAATTCATTCTGAGTTTCATTAAACAAAATATATAGGACAGCAAGGATACTCTGTTAGGGAAACTATTCAATAGTACATAAACAAACGAACAGTATGCTAAAAGAATAATAAACCACGTTGAAAGAGGATGAGGATGTTAAAGATGGTTCAATATTAGAAAATTGGCCACACCATATCTGATTTTGATGATATTTAGATAAGACTTTGGATTTAGATTTTAAAGTGGATGCTGGAATGAGTTAAGACTTTGGGATTTGGGAGATGAAATAAATGTACTTAGTATGTGAGAAGACCATATATTTCGGGGGATGACCAGGGACAGAATGCTATAGTTTGAATGTTTATGTCTCTACAAAATAAATTTATGTTGAAACTTAATTCCCTATGCAATAGTATTAAGAGATGGAGTCTTTGGGGGAAGTGACTAAGTCGTGTGGACTCTGCTTTCATGAATGGGATCAATTTCCCTACAAAAAGAAGCTCCCAAAGGCTGCTGAGCTGTTCCATCTCTTTTGACATGTAGGGACTCAATGTTCATGTTTCTTTCATACTTCTGCCTCATGAGAGAGAAGCCAGGAGAAATTGTCTGTTTGGAATGGGCTCTCACTCAACCCCAAATCTGGTACCATCTCAATCTTCAACTTTCCAGCCTCCAGAGCTATGACAAATCCATTTATATTATTTATAAATTACCCAAGATAAGATATTTTGTTAATAGCAGCTCGAACTGGCTAAGGCAGAGGGCTACTTACAAGAATTAAATGCATAATATATATAAAATTACCTTATAAAATGTATATAAAATTACCCTACAAGATGTATATAAAATTACACGATTTAAGTCTTGTAAAATGCAACATGTATACAAAATTACCCTACATGACATACAACAATAAAAGTTCAATACATTTAAATTTATTTATTCTTTTATTAAAAAAGACTCGTTTTGTTCTTTCTAATAATGAATTACCTTCTAATAATAAATTATCTTTCTAATAATGAATTAACTTCTAATAATGAATTATCTAAAAAATAGATTATTTGATAAACACTTGCTTTCTTTAGCATTAAAGCCATTCAAAAAAGAAGCAGAAAGGCCATCTAAAAGGTATGTTGATGAACAAACGCACTGTTGCATGTCATCAGGTGGCTGGTTAACGTGAATAAAAACTAAGTCTCCTTCCTCATTTAAATTCCAATGATTCTGCTCCTTAACATTTAATATTCAGCCTATTCTCTACCTATACAGAGAGTAATGCCACCTGTAGGTCTATCGTTGCTCAGTTGTTATCTGAGAAGTAAAGCCCAGTTCCTCTTGAAAAGGCAGAGAATTTAGACAGAAATTCACCAACTGCTTTCTTACAGAAAGTAAACCAATTTCTGCTTCCAGAAAAATGGAGTAAATGTATTTTGCCCTATTCCTTCTACTAAGAAAAACTATAAACCCTGAACATTATATATAAAATATATGAAAACTCAGACCTGGAGAGACCAAGGCAGATGTGGTAGGGACTTAATAAATTGTATAGTGATGAATCCTCTAAGTTTTCTTTTCTGCTTTATAATTTGCAGACTTTTAGCTGAAAATGCCATCAACATAGAAATACTAACAGGCACATATGAGAATTTCCCAACAAAAGCCTATTATTTTAGGCAAAGGTCAAGGAAATAGTCTACCAAGGCAGAAAACATTTCGACAATAACCACTCTACTGTAGTCAAGTACCACAGAAAACACTATTACCTCAAGTGAAGAGCTTAGATCTTTAGATCTTCATACCAGCCAGGCTGTGACAAGGTGTCCCAACCCTCCTCCAGAATAGTATCTCAGAATAGCAGAAGTTGGAACTTTCATCCCCAACTTGTGGTAATAAGCCCCTCACTCTCCTTCCACACCTTGATATGACTGGAGAGCAAATGGGGAGCTGGATCTACTCTAAAAGCAGCAATGAAGAAGCACCCTCCTTTCCATACCAGGTGGTGCTTGTGGAGGCCATGTGGGAAACAGTAACAAGTCACTTCTTCCTCCGAGACAGGCTATCAGTGGAGGCCCAGTGGTGACCCAGAATCCACCCTCCAGCCAGCAGTAATGAGGAACCTCCGCCTGCCTAGGTGTCAACAGAGATTGAGAGGAAACCTTTATTTCTATCATCACCTGGCAGTAATGCAGTGTCCCTCCCTCACTCCCTTGCCTTGCTGGAGTAGTGTCTGAGGAAGCTAGCTAAGACAGAAAAGGTAAATAAGTTCTAGAGTCTCATAATGCCTAAAATGTCCTGGTTCATTTAGAAATCATTTGGTATACAAAGAACCAGGAAAAATCTCAACTTGAATGTAAAAGGTAATTAGAAGATTCCAGAACAAAAATGACAAAGATGTTGGAATTATTCAGAAAATATTTTAAAGCAGTCATCATAAAAATGCTTCCAGTATATTGCTTACAAACATATATGAAACAAATTTAAAAATTATCTCAGCCAAAAAATTAAAATATATGAAAGAACTGAATGGACATTTTAGAACTGAAACTTACAATAACCACATAAAAAATTCATGAAGGTAAGCAGGAAAAAACTATAAACACAGCCTCAGGGACCTGTAGTATTATAACTGAAGGCCTAATTTTTGTGTTATCAGAGTCCCAGAAGGAGAGAAGAAATGGGCAACTTTGAGAAAGGTCTCAAAGACTGAAAACTTCCTTAATTTGGCAATAGGCAAAAACCCACAGATTCCTAAATTCAAGCAAACCCAAAATCTCTTAGCCATTTTAGGCTACTGTATCAGAATACCATAGAATGGGTGGTTTATAAAAACAAAAATGTGTTGCTCACAATACTGGAGGCTGGAAGACCGTGATCAGAATGCCAGCACAGATGAGTTCTGCTGAAGACATTTTTTGGCTATAGATGGACATCATCTCATTGTATCCTCACATGTTGGAGAAAAGAAAAAGATATCTCTTGTCTCCTTCTCCCTCTCTCTCTCTCTTTTTTTTTTTTATAAGGCCTCTGATCTCAACATGAGGGCCCCACCCTCATGACTTAATCTAACCCTAATTACCTCCCAAAGGCCTAACCTCCAAATAACATCACATTGAATTTAGGATGTCTACATATGAATTTTGAGGGGACACAAACTTTCAGTGCATAAAACTAACCAAGACAAACACAAAGAATCCAAACTAAGGTATACCATGGTAAAATATCTGAAAATTAAAAGAAAGAACAAATTTTGAAAGCAGCTAGAGGAAATAGCTCATCTATAGGAGAGAAAACAATACAAATGGAAGCAGGAAACATCAGAAATAGATGAAAGCCATAGAAAAGTGGCACAACACTGTCTATGTGATGAAATAAAATAACTTTCAATTCTGGTTTTTATATCTGGTATATTTGTCTTTTAGGAATGGAAGGGCTATAAAGACATTTGATGAAAGAAAGCTGAGAGGATTTGTCACCAGAAGGTCTACCTTTTAAAAAGGGGCTCAAGAAAATTCTCTATCCAGGAAAAAAAAAAAGAAAAAAGATTAAAAAAGAAACTTTAAAACACCAAAATTAAAGAAAACACAATGGAAAGGGAAAAAATGAATAACTTCATCTTCCTTTTCCTCTTCAGTTTGGTAAATTTATTTGACAGCTGAAGTTAAAATTATGACATTATCAGATGCGATTTTAAGTGTATATAGGTAAATATTTAAGACAACTATATAAGGAACAGAGGAGGGTAAAGAGACATATAGGGAATCAAGGAATAAGGTTTCCGTACATCTTTCAAAGTACTAAAATTTTGACCCTATTAAACCATGATAAGTTATTACATGTGCTGTAAAACCTACAGCATCCACTAAGATGTCTGCACACAGAGATATACTCAAAAATACCACAGATAAACCTCAATGGAATTCTAAAAAAAGAAAATTAAAGTAACACACATGAAAGCAAGGCGTACAAAACAACAATTACAAAAAAAGAAAAAAAAACGGATAAGCAGAAATCATAAAGTAAAATGGCAGGTTTGTGACCCAACATATCAATAATTACAAATAAAAGTGGTCTAATGTGAACAAAGTTGCTGAGTATTGAAGAGTGTCTATATTATAGAAATAAAATAGCATATGCTATTATCAAATTTTATGGGATATTTATATTTTTATATACATTGTACAAATGTTATGTTAAATATTTTAATATTTTGTACAATTAATTTTTGGTACAAAGTAATTATTTTGTACTATTAATATTATTGTATAAAACATGTATATTTTGTAAGTAACCCATATAAAGCTCTCAGCTCCATCCATGCTTGGCACAGGGAAGCTGATATGGTTTGGATGTTTGTCCCCTGAAAACCTCATGTTGAAATGTGATTCTCGATGTTGTGATAGCACCTGGTAGGAGGTGATTGGATCATGGGGCAGATTCCTCATGAATGGTGTAGCAGAAGCTTGTCCAACACATGGCCAGCATTCTGCATGCAGCCCAGAATGGCTTTGAATATGACCCAATACAAATTCATAAACTTTCTTAAAACATTGAGTTTTTTGGCAATTTGTTTTAGCTCATCACCCATCGTTAGTATATTTTTTTGTATGGCCCAAGACAATTCTTTTTCTTCCGGCGTGGCCTAGGGAAGCCAAAAGATTGGACACTCCTGGTTTAACACCATTCTCTCGGTGATTAGTGAGTTCTTGCTCTGAGTTCATGCAAGATCTGGTTGTTTGAATGTGTGTGGCGCCTCCTCTACTTGCTCCCACTCTCACCATGTGACACGCCTCCTCCCCCTTTGCCTCTTGCCATGATTGTAAGCTTCCAGAGGCCTCATCAGAAGCTAATCAGATACTAGTGCCATGCCTGTACACCCTGCAGAACTATGAGCTAATTAAATCTCTTTTATTAATTACCTTTATTTTTTATTTTTTTATTTTTTTTGAGATGGAGTCTCGCTCTGTCATCAGGCTGGAGTGCAGTGGCGCGATCTTGGCTCACTGCAACCTCCACCTCCCGGCTTCAAGTGATTCTCCTGCCTCTGCCTGCTGAGTAGGTGGGACTACAGGCACCCGCCACCACGCCCGGCTAATTTTTTGTATTTTTAGTAGAGACAGGGTTTCACCGTGTTGGCCAGGATGGTCTCAATCTCCTGACTTCGTGATCCGCCCGCCTCTGCCTCTCAAAGTGCTGGGATTACAGGTGTGAGCCACCATGCAGGGCCCCTCTATTTCTTTATGGCAACACAAGAATGGCCTAATACAGAAGCCTTCACTGAGAGCTGCTAGAGTGAAGACAGTCACTGGGTGGGGCTCCCCATCGCTTGCTTGCTATGTCGAGTTCCCACATGGCTGTCTCAGAGGTCTTACTTGTCCTGATATCTACACTATTCCTAAGTGACCTTGTCTAAGCCCATGGCTTCAAATGTTACTGAAATCAAGTTTACAATCACAGCTGATAATGTCATAATTGTAACTTCAACTGTCAAATACATTTACCAAACTGAAGAAGAAAAGGAAGATGAATTTATTCATTCTTCCTTTCCATTGTGTTTTCTTTAATCTTTTTGTTTGAAACTTTCTTTTTTATTTTTCTTGGCTAGAGAATTTTCTTTAGCCCCCTTTTAAAAGGTAGATGTTCTGGTGACAAATCCTCTTAGTTTTCTTTCATCAAATATCTCTATAGCCCTTCCATTCCTAAAAGATAAATTCACCAGTTTCAGTGGCATTTGAAGCCATGGGCTTAGATAAGGTCACTTATCTAAGTTATAGCATGGCACAGGTGCTATAACGCCTTCAATGAACCCAGGTTTGGCACCCACCTCATTATTCTCTAGGCAGCTACTTTCATTCATCAGTTGAAATTTGAAAAAAAAAAAAAAAGAAAGAAAAAAACCAACAACACTTAAAAAATCTGGACAGATAGTTTGAGTGCCTATTTTGAATCCACTAATATTTATTCCTGGCTAAATTGTGCACATCAGACTAGTGGACCATCACAAAATTTCATACTGAAATGTATTGGATATAAAAAGAAAATAGAAAAAGTGAAAACATATTAACTGGCAGAAGAGAAATACTACAGTCTTAAAATGAATCAGGACGAGCCTTCAGACTACTTTTCTATTTAGAAGAAAAGTCCTGAGACAATGGGTTTTATCAAGCCAGGATAAAGAAACATAAAATCTGACGAGTTAATGGGTGCAGCACACCAACATGGCACATGTATACATATGTAACAAACCTGCACGTTGTGCACATGTACCCTAGAACTTAAAGTATAATAATAATGAAATGAAAATAATAATAACAATAAAGGGGGCTGAGAATAAAAGAAAAGAGCACTTAAAGACTGAAAAAAAAAGATTAGGATTATCTTTTCAACTAATCATTTTGGAACAGTTGAATATTCATATGTAAAAGAAGGCTCTTCGTGTCTCTTTTCTTCCTAAGTGAGGGACTTGAAAGACACATGTTTAGTGTTAGATACTCCACTAGCTTGTATTCCTGAGAGACTACATGAAAACTATCCTCACCTCACTCTGCATTTTTAAATTCAATTAGTCATGTAATGTGAACCGAGAAATGAACCTTTCATGAAACTTACATTGTAGATGCTACAGCATAGCCTATCCTATCATGTCTCATCCAAAGAGTAAAAAGTTTCTCAATAAGTAATAGTCAACAAAAGTGAAATGATGTAAAGCTTTTGGTATTTTATTTATACCTCACCAGAATTAAAGATGACTGAGCTAATAGTGTTACTACAAGGTATAATAAAATTATGAAAAATATACACAGATGTTACATATTCTATAAGGAAAAATGTCATATGTAACTTGTTTTTGCCTTAAATGCTTTAATTGAGATATAGTTCACATAATATACAATTCACTCATTTAGTGTTCAATTAAATGATTTTTAATATATTCCACAGACATGTGCAACCATCACCACTGTCAATTGTAGAACATTTTATCACTTCAAAAAGAAACCCCATATCCATTAGATATCACCTCCCTATTCCCCCATCATCCCACCTTTCTCCCCACCCCAGCCTAAGCATCTATTAATCTTCTTCCTGCATCTGTATATTTTCCTATTCTGGACTTTCGACTGAATGGCATTATATAATATGGGATCTTTTGTGATTGGTTTCTTTTACTTAGCATAATTTCAAGACTCATACATGTTGTACGTATCAGTACTTTATTCCCTTTAATAGTTAAATAATATTTGATTACATGACTAAACCACCTTTTGTCTATTTATTTATTCATTGATGAACATTTGGGTTTTTTTCTATCTTTTGGCTACTATAAATAATGATGCTAAGAAAATAAAAACTAAGCTAGTAAAAGACTTTCCTTATGTATGTGCTAAATAATTCTATTTTAGTTATGCATTGATCTTTAAAACACCCTGAGTCCAAAACTCAGAGATACAAAACAACAATATTTTATTTTATTTTATTTTGTGTATTTTTTCTTCAACTTTTAAGTTCTGAAGTACATGTGCAGAATGTGCGGTTACATTGGTAAACATGTGCCATGGTGGTCTGATGCACAGATCAGCCCATCACCTAGGTATTAAGCCCAACATCTACTAGCTATTCTTCCTGATGTTCCTCCTCCCCCAACCCCCACCCCAATAGGCCCTAGTGGGTGTAAAACAACAGTACTTTATTATGCTTCCAGATTCTGTGGGTCAGTAATTCAGACAGGGCACTATGAGAAGGCTTGTCTCTTCTTCAAAATGTCTAGACCTTCACCTTAGAATATGTAGACAGCGGACTATGACTCAAGTGGCAGGGGCTGCAATAACCAAGCAGACCTTTACTCTCATGTCTATCACTGGACTTGGATGATCAGAAGTACGGGCTCATTTGAAATGGTTGACTATATTGCCTACATGTGGCCTCCTCGTGTGGCTTGAGCTTCCTCACAGCATGCTGGTCTCAACTTTGTCAGACTTCTTATGAAGTGGTTCAGGATTGTAAGAGGAAACTTTCCAGTGAGTAACGGAAAAGCCATACAGTTTTTCTTGATAGCCTTAGAAAGTATATGATGTCGTTTCCACCACACGTCATTGTTTAAAGCAGTTACAAGCCCACTCAGTTTTAAGAGGAAGGTCTGCAGACCCTAGGCCTCAAAAGGAAGAGGATCAAAGAGTTTGCAGCCATGTTTCAAAACTGCCACAGACTCTAAGCGATCCTGATATAGTATCAGAAAGCAGATTTTGTGTATTTACTTAAACCTTGGGTACTTTATACATAATATGTATTGGCGAGGTGAGTAAGAAGATAAACTGTCATTTTAGACATTTGTGGCATGTGATAGGAATGTGCCTCTGAAATCTCTGTCCTGAGGGAGCACAATTAGCTGCAGAAGGGCAAATACACACTAAAAATAAAGAAGCTTAATCATCTCTTTTACAAATAAGCACCCTTATCTCTCAGTTTCTGCTGGGAGCAGGAGCCTAACTTCAATGGCCACCAGGCTCCAAATGGCAAGACTATCTCCTACATAAAGATCTGTGTTTATTTGTCCTTTGTTTAAAGTCTGTTAACTAACACAGATGGCCACCCCAATTTCCAGGTAAATTTAAGATAAACTATGCGTAATAAATAATGCTGCCAAGTCCTCTCTCTTGGGGATTAGTTATCACTTAACTTGAGAAAATGTATATATTGGGTCATATGCATATATTGGCTATATAAAAACGGGTGAGATCTCTTTCTGTCTTTGCAGTCTCTTAGTAGGTTGCCTGTAATGTATATCAGATTCTGGTTTAATATTTATTTAATAAGAAAACTATTTTCTTTCTCTATTACATTTGTGGAGAGACTTTCTGGGTTGGGAGGAGACTTTGTTTTTAATCGTATTTCCCCAACAGCTAACAAGCATGGCACCTATGCTATGAAATCTATCACCCCATTCACTTCCATGAGCCGCTTTCAGCCAAAGACAGAGAAGGGGGCAGATTCAATGGTCAGGCCTGCTCCTGGGAGACTCAGGACTCCTCTAATTTGCACCTTGGGCTTGATAACTCCCTACTGGACATCTTGAAATGTTCTCAGGACTGCACTGCTGCCTAAGACCTTCCTTCTTTCCCTCTCTCTCTCCTTCACAGGGGTCAAAGTTATATCCTAGTACAATAGCTCTGTTCACCTTTCGCTCTCTCCTTGCTTTCTCATATAGGCATTTATCCCAATGACTGCCTTGCTTCTCAGGAGATCCATGAAGACACCATATTTTAATGTTTCTAGCTTATAACTAAGGTGAATGAATAAAAAACATTTAAATCTTAAGGAAAAAAAGATGCAAAAAATATTTTAAAATCTCTATTTTGTATTTTAACAAATCAGAATTCAAATCCTAGTTGATAGCTTTACAAGGAAATTATAAACAGTGTCACAACAGCAGGTAATATAATATCTGCCTTGAAAATCACTAGCTGAAATTCTGAGAAAAATAAAGGTAGTTTTCGTTTTTCAAAGACAACTAGGACTTTGTCTGGGAGCACACTGGAGGCATTCCATTCTTTTCCAGTGTCAATCAACAGCACAGGATAAAGAAACATATTGAACACTAAAGCTTTGGATACACAAATTTATAACATCTTATTTATAAATCAGTGGTGTACAGAAAGCAGAGATCCCATAATCAAGCATGGCAAACATGTTGAAGAATATGCTTACAATGATTTCTGCTATAGATTTCATAATGGGGATTCAGAGAAGTAGAGTTATGGTGCTGGTTCACTGCATTGATTGGATCAGGCGCTGGAAACTCTCCCTGATAGATTTTATTCTCACCTGTTGGGCAATTTCCAGAATATTCTGCTGTAATTTTACATGTGGGCTTAAATGTAAACTGAGGAAATTTTGTACAATAAGAATGCAAGGATAAGTTTGACATCCCCTAATATCTATAATTTCATTCCTGCTCCTCTTTATTATATACTATTTGAGCAATACGATTATAAAGCGAAATTATTTTAATCTAGATAGCATTGTGGCACAGATTTTTGCTCTTGAGTTAGCATTTTTCTATCTATTCAGTCATTCATTTTTTTCTGATTTTATGGAACAGCAAACTGAAACAGGCTTCTCTCTGTGTCCTGAGGAACCTTCGGTGTTACATGAATATAAGGAAATCTAAATCCTCATAAACACACCTGAATTGATTGGTAATTCTCTCAAAAATGAAGACAACAAATAACTCAGCACACATCCCTTTCATTTAATCCAACTTCTTTTATTATGTTTGGTGATAGATCATTGAGCCTCATTGATGAAATTATCTGCCTGAAATAAGTTAAAAGAAAGTGATTTCACTGTTTCCATCAGAATTGCAACTATATAATCAATGGCAAAATTAAAATTATAGTATTATATAATAGTAACAATAAAATTAGATGAATAATGCATTTTATGTTAAGCAAGCGATGACCATTTTAGCTTTATCTCATTTAGTTTACATTATGTTGATTTGATAAAAGCATACACAAATATACAATCGACAGACTGACGATACAACCTCTAGAATAAGAGAAAATATTTGAAAACTATTCATTTATCAAGGAATTCATATCCAGACTATAGAAGGAACTCAGTCAAAAACACAAATAATTAGATTAAAACATGGGCAAATTAACTGTATAGATATCTCTCAAAAGAAGACATACAAATGGCCAATAGGTATATAAAAAGGTGCTCAATATAACTAATCATCAGAGAAATGCAAATAAAAACCTCAATGAGATATTATTTTATTCTAGTTATAATGGCTATTTTCAAAAAGACAAAAAAACACAAATGCTTGTGAGGATGTGGAGGAGGAAGTTTTACACACTGTTGGTACAAATATAAATTAGTTTAGTCATTATGGAGAACAGAATGGAAGTTCTTAAAAACTAAAAATATAACTACCATATGATTCAGCAATCCCACCACTGGGTATGTATCCAAAGGAAAGGAAATCAATATGTCGAAGTGATATCTGCACTCCCATGTGTTTTGCAACACCATTCATAATAGCCGAGACATGAAATCAACCTAAGTGTCCATTAACATTTGAATGGATTAGAAAACATGATATATACACATAATGAATGGAATACTATTTAGCCATTAAAAGAAGGAAATTTGGTCATTTATGGAAGCATCCATGAGACTGGAGAACATCTGTTAAGTGAAATAAGCCAGATACAGAAAGACAAACATGACATGTTCACACATATGTGGAAGCTAATAAAGTTGATTCCGTAGAAGTAGGAAGCAGAATAATGGTTCCTAGAGATGTGATAGGGGAGAAGGGAGAGGGAGATAGCCAAAGGTTGGTTAATGAATACAAAAGTATAGCCAGGTAGAAGGAACAAGTTCTAGTGTTCTATAGCACAGTAGGGTGACTACAATTACAACAATTTATTGTATATTTTACAAGAGCTAGAAAAACAAATTTTGAATGTGCCCAACACGAAGAAATGTTAAATATTTGAGAAACGGATATGCTAATTGCCTTGATTTGATCATTACACATTGTATAAATGTATTCACATATCACACTGTATCACATAAATATGTACAATTATTGCGTTTATTAAAAATAATAAAATAATGCAAAAAAAGAAGCAATCCAAGTAACAAAAACCAGACAAGCTAAAATACAGAGAAGTAGAGGACAAAACACAGTACAATGTGTGTATAAATAGATGTGTCTGTGTGTATTTGTATACATGTATATGTTTATGTATATGTAGCCATATATGTACCTATATCTGTGTATATGGATATACACATAACAGATCATCCTAAGTATATTCATGACTTTTTAAGCATTTTCCCCTCAAGACAATGTAACCTTAACAAAGTTCTGTGGAAATATTTGAAGACTCTTATATCTCAAAAAAAACATTTTTTTTTTCGTGGCTCACTACAGCCTCAACCTCCCTGGGCTCAGGTGATCCTCCCACCTCCACCTCCTGTGTATCTGGGATCAGAGGCGTGTGCCAACACACCTAACCTAGCTAATTTTTGTATTTTTGGTAGAGTCGGGGTTTTGCTACGTTGCCCAAGCTGGTCTCAAACTCCTGGGCCCAAGCAATCCGCCTGCCTCAGCCTCCCAAAGTGCTAGAATCTTGTTTTTGAGGAAACAAAAGAAGTTCACTTTTTCCATGTTTAGTTTGGGGTGCTTATGTTTCACTGAAAGACATCATTTTTAAAAATGTGTTTAAAATGCTACTGACAGATTATTTGAAAGGCCTGCATCTTTATAGTGGGGGGTGGGGAGCGGTGGGGGAAGTTTTCCTGATAATTATGATACTCATATTAGATTCATATATTGCCCACCAAGTTTCTTGAAAATTTCAAGCTCTGTATTTTACTTTGTAATGTAGCAATCTACACTGTGACTGCATTATAATTAATTAGCATAAGGATTGCTGGTTTTCCCTACATGTTGAATAATTTTAATGTGGTGAAAGGTTTCTGTTTCAAACTTCAGATTTGTAAATCAAATGAAACACTTCATTGGAAGAGGAGAACTAATTTTATTCAAAACAATGAAAATTAGTCTGTGTCTTTATTTACATGTTAGCAAATGATAATTTGGTTTGTCAATCATCTTTCTTTTTTTTTAATTTTGTTTTTATTTTTTTATTTTTATTTAATTTTTTAAATTATACTTTAAGTTTTAGGGTACATGTGCACATTGTGCAGGTTAGTTACATATGTATACATGTGCCATGCTGGTGCACTGCACCCACTAACTCGTCATCTAGCATTAGGTATATCTCCCGATGCTATCCCTCCCCCTCCCCCCACCCCACAACAGTCCCCAGAGTGTGATCATCTTTCTATAAAGAAATTTACAGTTTGTAGCTGACAGCTGGACCAAGACTGGAAATTCTTAGCAGAGGTAGTTAGAAATTTTCAATGAATGTTACAGAGAGTGATTTCACTGTCTTACTGCAGTTTGCTAAACTTTATAGCTAAAAAGAAAAGCCATGATAAAATAAAAACACTGCACAATCAAACATAAGATCTATGTTATTATCCAGTAAGTCATCTGAAAATTAGTCACACAACAAACTGCAGATCAGAATTTTCGCTTTGTAGCCATGTTGAATATATTGGAGGTTTTCATGACTGTAATAGGTAGGGGATTTATAAAAGGAATGTAGGAAATTAATTCATTGGACTCACAGATTGCATTGCCTGGATGAGAAATCAGAAGTTATGCATGGTTGGCTTCATTCTTACTAGTTTGGCCTTAGCCAGAATCAATATTCTTCTATTAGAAAATCCCTGATGCTAGGGAAAGAAACCATATCCTTACCATTGTCCGGAGACTGGCCAACCACTTGTGCACTTGATTTGCTACTTGTCTTGCTGTCTTTTATTTCCTAAAGATCGTCAATTTCTCCTATCTCTTTTACTTTTGGCTAAAATGGAGAATTAACAAGGTAGCTTTCATACTTCCACTGGTATCTGCCTTTTCTGTTTACCAACTTTCCTTTGACGTACACTTTTGATGTCTTCTGGTATCGTGTCCAAAAAAATATGAAAGACATATGACTGGATTACTCAATGTAAGTAATAATAAAAATGTTAATAATATAATAATCTTCTTTATTGGATCTCTCTCTTCTTTCTCTATTTCTTCGATTTTCTTTTTGTTGTTACTCCTTTCTTCGTGAAGACACATGAAACACATTAGGTTCAATTTCAGGGATTGCAGAACCCCAGTATACGGGCCCATTTCAGAGCCAAGAAAACGGTTTTCCTTTTTTGTCTTGTTGCTCTATAAAAATTTGCCCTTTTCTTGACATTTACAGGGGTATTTTTTGCTACAGAACAAACTGGTTGTGATATCTGGTTTATGATATGAAGTCAGTATTCTTTGGGTCACTCATATGTTGTGATTTTTGGATACGGCCAAATGAAGAAAACTTTCTTGGGGATTCTCTGGCACCTGAAATGTGGCCTGAAAGGACGGGCACTCTTAGCTACACAGGTAGGCCTCAGAGAGAAGTCAACAAGAAGTCTTGGTGTAATCTTTCTTGCTTCATCGTACTCTTTTTTTGTATATGTCCTGTGTCACTGAGTAAGTACCATTTAAATTCTTCCTGGGCCTGGCCGGGTGCGGGCTCAGGCCTGTAATCCCAGCACTTTGGGAGGCCGAGGTGGGCGGATAACGAGGTCAGAAGATCGAGACCATCCTGGCTAGCACGGTGAAACCCCGTCTCTACTAAAAATACAAAAAATTAGCCAGGCGTGGTGGCGGGTGCCCATAGTTCCAGCTACTGGGGAGGCTGAGGCAGGAGAATGGCGTGAACTCAGGAGGTGTAGCTTGCAGTGAGCCGAGATCGCGCCACTGCATTCCAGCCTGGGCGACAGAGAGAGACTCTGTCTCAAAAATAAATAAATAAATAAATAAATAAATAAATAAATAAATAAATAAATAAATAAAATAAAATAAATAAATTCTTCCTGGGCCAGGACTGACCTCTAAAATAGTTTTTAAAATATTTTAAAGAGAAAATAATCACCTATATATAAAAAAGAGGTGTGAATAAGTTGTAATCCACTCATTCAGATCTACAGAAGGTGGATGTTAGAAATTTAACAGAAGTAAGCAAAATAGAATGAAAACCACTTATTTCCTCTAGGTAACAATCTTGTCTCTGTAATAATATGGATTTAGCCAGTTACTTTATGTTTTTTGTTTGTTGTTTGTTTGTTTTGAGATGGAGTCTCACTCTGTCGCCCAGGCTGAAATGCAGTGGCACCATTGTTTTTGTGAATATTTTTGCTGCTGATGTAACTGCAGAAATTAGTCTAGAACTTGTGGAAGTTGTTAAAACCCTTTCATAAGAGCCCAGTTACTATTGCACAATCTAAGGCATGTAGAGTTAACATACCTAGAATGCACATCAAAATGGTCATTAATCTCATTCATGAGAGGTCTGCCCTCATTACCTCCTAAAGGAACCATCTCTTAATACTGGCACACTGGCAATTAAGTTTCAACATATAGACTTTGGAGGAGACACATGCAGATCACAGCAAAGGGGTTTTTAAATCTTTGCTATGCCTATCACTTGCTTTAGTTCTGTTAATTTTGCTTTATTTATTTTGAGTCACAATTATTAGTCTGATACACCTTCAGGATTGTTAAGTATTTTTGATAAATTGAATATTTTATCATTATACAACTTCCCTCTATTTTTCTACTACTTGTCTTGATAATATAGCCACTTTGAGAATAGAACCAGTCCTGCTTTCTATGGTTACAAATTCCATAGTATAGCTTTTTCTTTCCTTTACATTCAATCTATCTGTGCCTTTATGTTTAATGTTTTATCTTCTAGGCATAACATTTAATTGTGCTTTCATTTATTCATTCTGATGATCTCTATCTTTTCATCAGAGTGTTTAGTCAAATCATGTTTAATGTAATTATCAGTATGGTTGGCTGTAAGTCTTGCATTTTGCTCAATGTTTTTCATTTATCTCACTTATTTTTGTCCCTCTGTCCTTTTTCTGGCTTTCTTTTGTGTTAATTGACTGTATCTTCAATTATTTCATTTTAATCTCACAATTGGCTTTTAAAACTCCATTTGTTATAATGAATTATTCTTTTATATATCGCTGGACTCTATTTTGTTTGGAATTTTTGCATCTATGTTCAGGCTATATTAGCCTGTAATAGTCTTATAAGTATTCTTGATGAAATTTTGTATAAAGTTGTTCACAGTATTGTCTTATAATAAAAGATTATATACAAGGATATGTAACTATATTATATAGTATTATATATATATATATATGTATATGTATATATATATATGTATATATATGTATGTATAGAGAGAGAGAGAGAGAGACAGAGAAAGAGAGAGAGAGAGATGAGGTCTCACTCTGTCACCCAGGCTGGAGTGCAGTGGCCCAATTATAGCTCACTGCAAGTTCAAACTCCTGGGCTCAGGCAATCCTCCTGCTCGGCCTCCCAAGTAGCTGGGACTACAGGTGCACACCACCATGCCCTGCTAAATTATTTTTATTTATTTATTTTTTTTAGTAGAGATAAGGTCTTGCTATGTTTCCCAGGCTGGTCTCAAACTCCTGGACTCAAGTGATTCTCACACCTGGGCCTCCCAAAGTGCTGAAATGACAGGCATTAGCTACCACACCCAGGCCATATTTCTGATATCTCTAAGGACTGTAGTAATTTGTATTTTCTTTTGACCAACATTAGTATATTACTGTACCTAATTCTTTTCTATCGGTGATTTCTGCTGTTACTATAATTTCTTGACTTCTATTTTCTTTCACTCTTAGCTTTCTAGCTTCTTGAGATGAAAACAAAATTCATCTGTTTTTACCCTGCCTTTCTAAAAGATGCATTCAAGGCTACAAATTTCCTTCAAAGAATGGCTTTAATTGGATTATGTAAATTTTAATAGGTCATTTCTTTATTACACGTTGAGTATCCCTAATCCAAAAATCTGAAATTTGAAATGCTCCAAAATCTGAAACTCTTTGAGCGCTGACATGACGCTCAAAGGATATGCTCATTGGAACATTTTGGATTTCAAATTTTTGAATTCGAGATGCTTAATCAGTATGATGCAAATGTTCCAAAACTTAAAAAAAAAGAAAAAAAAATCCGAAATCCAAAGCTCTCTGGTCTCACACATTTCAGATAAGGGATACACAACCTGTATTATTTACTTAAAAATATTTTTGTAATTTTTGTTATTTCTTCTTTGACTCAAGAGTATTTACAGGTTTTTTGTCTTAGTAAATTGTTTCTTTCTCTAGTTATCTTTTTATTATTGAACTTCATTTTATTCCTTTGAATTCAGAGAACATTCAACACTTGTGAGATATTCTTTTGGATTCATGATCAGTCTTGGTAAAAATAGTCTATGTGCACTTGAAAAGAATATGAATTATTTTACCGTTGAACACAAGTTTGTCAATTGTTTTTTCATGTATTTTCCATCTATTGATTTTTGGTGTTTCTAAGATGAGTTATTGAGTTATGTATTTTACAGTCTTTCATTGTGATTGTAGATTTGTCTTATTTTTCCTTTTCTGTAAATGTTTGGTAGATTATTTGGTTCATAAATTTTTGGGATTACCCTACCTTTCTGTAGATTTGAGCATTTTTATCACTATAAAGTACACTCCCCATTTCTTCTCTAATGCTGCTTCTTACCTTAAAGTCTGCTTTATAGAATATTGTTATAATTATGCCAGATTTCTTTTGGATGATGTTTGCATGGCTTATTTTTCCATAATTTTACTTTAAAGTTTTCCTTTTCTATATTTAAATTGTGTTTCTTGTAAGCAGTATACAGTCAGAGTTTTAAATTCTTCTTTGTTACTATTAATTTTTTACTTGGAGTATTTAGTTCATTTACATTTTATATAATTATATTCTCCATTTCTAGAAGTTTTTTCCCCAAATGTTCCAATTTCTTTCTAACAGTCTCTTGCTGCTCTTCTCTGAAATTGCATCTTGTTTTTTGTAAACAGTGTATACATTAGCTAATTTATCTATACATATTCTTATCTGTCAATTTCAGTATGTGCAGCCCATGAGAATTTAAGTTTTCTACTTGCTTTTGGTTGGTTTGTTTTGTTTTGCTATCATTTGTAGTCTATTCCTAAGCTTAATTTAACTTCATTTTGAAATCATTGTGCAATTTTATTTATGGTAGTCATGCCAGGATAAGTGAGAGAAGGTCTTCTTTTCTCCAAAGCTTAGTTTATTCATATTTAATGTAAATACAAAAATAGCCCCTCTTTTAAAGGATTGAAGGCTTGTGAAATTAAGATGAGAAAAAGATACTTAACATAGCGCTAGGAATATAATAAAAGCTCAATAAATGTTAGATTTCACTTTTAATTTCACTTTTAATTCTTAGATCAGTATGTTGATTTACTTAATTGTTTCCCACCTCCCTCATTAGAATATACACTCCATAAATCACACAAGTTTTGAAATTCTGTCTACCACTATATTCCCTCAAAGATCAAAAGAGAGCTTGTTGTATCTAGACATTCAGTAAATACTTGTTGGATAAATGAATGGGTGCCAGCAAACAGTAATGTGTTAAATGAAGAGATTATTCCTAAGAGCCTTTCATGTCAAGGGTAGTCAACATAATCTTCTGCATTCAAGGGTGTAATAACCATAAGTATAAAACAACAGCAACAGATTTGTGACATATTTGTGAAACTTGTCATACCTAGAGTTGAGCTTAAATTTTAATTAAAAATTAAATCGATCATTTAGAGTAAGTATCTACAGTGGCTAAATTTGTTTTTCATTTCTATATAGTATTTTCTGTACATATATAAATTGATTATAAATGACATAAATAATGATTTGATATTTTAAAAGATAAAGTCAAAATTTTTGTTTCTGTTTTGCATTACATTCTATAGGTATATGTTTGGCACTCCTCCTCCACAATTCAATTTATTAAATGCAAAATAGTCTCAGGAGGACATGTAAAATCCATGAAACAGAAACTTTCATTTGCATTTTAACAAATTATAGATAGGCATTCAGTCTGAACATACATTCTCCAGACTAGCTATGTTTTGTAGACATATTTGGAAAGGTCTTCATTAAGAAATTTCTGATTCCATCTCAAGCCATTACTGGGGCAATTTCAAGTCTTTATATAATGAAAGAGAAGAAAGTCACACTTCCGTCGAGCAGCCAATATATGCCTCATTCTGCAGCAGGTAATCTAAGATAGATGTAACAGAAGCAATATTAAGAATTAGCAGATATGCTACGTGTAGTGGAAGGCATCTTCATTTTTGTTGTAGTTAGTGAGTCAGTGTTTGGGGTTTTGGGGAATGGATTTATTGGACTTGTAAACTGCATTGACTGTGCCAAGAATAAGTTATCTACGATTGGCTTTATTCTCACCGGCTTAGCTATTTCAAGAATTTTTCTGATATGGATAATAATTACAGATGGATTTATACAGATATTCTCTCCAAATATATATGCCTCCGGTAACCTAATTGAATATATTAGTTACTTTTGGGTAATTGGTAATCAATCAAGTATGTGGTTTGCCACCAGCCTCAGCATCTTCTATTTCCTGAAGATAGCAAATTTTTCCAACTACATATTTCTCTGGTTGAAGAGCAGAACAAATATGGTTCTTCCCTTCATGATAGTATTCTTACTTATTTCATCGTTACTTAATTTTGCATACATTGCGAAGATTCTTAATGATTATAAAACGAAGAATGACACAGTCTGGGATCTCAACATGTATAAAAGTGAATACTTTATTAAACAGATTTTGCTAAATCTGGGAGTCATTTTCTTCTTTACACTATCCCTAATTACATGTATTTTTTTAATCATTTCCCTTTGGAGACACAACAGGCAGATGCAATCGAATGTGACAGGATTGAGAGACTCCAACACAGAAGCTCATGTGAAGGCAATGAAAGTTTTGATATCTTTCATCATCCTCTTTATCTTGTATTTTATAGGCATGGCCATAGAAATATCATGTTTTACTGTGCGAGAAAACAAACTGCTGCTTATGTTTGGAATGACAACCACAGCCATCTATCCCTGGGGTCACTCATTTATCTTAATTCTAGGAAACAGCAAGCTAAAGCAAGCCTCTTTGAGGGTACTGCAGCAATTGAAGTGCTGTGAGAAAAGGAAAAATCTCAGAGTCACATAGACACCTTGGGAAGAGATGGATGTTCCACGAAAGGAATCCAGTGAATAAATCCTTGAAGATCTGTTTCATTGCACTGCATTCTTGCATTGTCTTTTTAACTGTGTCATTAAAGATCACTGAAATCTTCCATAATTGTTTTGACTATGTTTCAGGGAATCTCAGTCTTTGAGGAGATTTTAATCTCACATGCAAATTCAGTGGCTTAGTCAGCTTCCCCACCCTGCAACTTCTTCCTACAAACTTCCTAGAGGAAGACCATCAGCCTGGAGACTATTCGCTGTAAAGATTATAACGGTGAGAATAAGCTCTAAAATAAAACTTCTTGTTGTGCTTTACCTGACTTTTCTGAAGCAAGGACACCCATTCTCCCAGAAAACCCAAAGGAAAAAAAAGAAAGAAAGAAAATTAGATCAATCTTGACATTTAGAACATGGAAGTGAGGATAGATGGTGGTACTTCTTTACAGAATGCTATTTTAATTATTTAAAGGTTTTTTTTTCATTTTTTAGAATCTAACATCCTTTTTTACTGGTGTACGATGTGTAGCAAGTAGTCAGAGGAGTAGATGTAGTTCTGTGAAATATAGTTAGGGAAACAAGGGTCTAGTTGAGGGATATGGGATCAAAACACTGATGAAATAAATATGCTCTTCAAAATCAGTGATTTGAGATAAGGCAGGTTATGAACCAATTAAAGTTGAGTAAAGATTTTTCTAGAAGCATCGATCCAAAGGCTGCAAGATTCAACACAGTCCCTGACCAAAGGACACAAGATGAACACAGGATAGAATCTGGGTGAAATATGAAATGTTCTGTCTTCAGGCTTCATACACACACACACATAAACATGCACACACACACATTCATATACACAAACTTGCACTCACAGAAACGTTTCAAATTTTGAGTTTTAAAGTTAACTTTTATGTCCAACCCAGGTTATAAACTCAGTGACTTATTTTGGCAACTTCCGAAAGTGCCTTGATCTCATACTTATGGCCTAATGAGTGGAATATTTCCAAATATAAGGACTTAATTAATTTTCTATGTCAGGTTTCCAAATCAATATTTTTATATTTTTAAACTATTGTGTTTAGAATGTACAGATAGTTAAGAGATAACAGAAAAAAAAACCTAATGCTGCTGCCTATTTCAACCAAATATACCAGGTTGGCTCATTTGAAATTATATTGTATAAAGAACTATGTTCTCTGTATAGATTATGTTGATTATGTAGAATTTATTCATTTTCCCATGTTTTCAAAAATTATTTGTAATAATCTTTTTAAGGGGTACATAATAACTCCCCTTGCAAATATACAATAATATACTTAGTGTTTATCATATCGTTTACGTTTAAGTTGTCTTCAGTTTTCCACTTTTAGAAATAAACATAATATGAGTATTATAGAGAGTGAATACTATTCATTCATATGAATACTATTTGAATGCTAACTTGGCTAGGTATTGAGGATATAGTAGTGAACAACATACCAATATAATGGATAATATATTCTAATAGAAAACAAATGAATAGCTAGCTAACTTAAACAATGATATTTATGATATTGGGAGAGAAAAACTATAGGATGCTGACCTGACCTGGTCATGAGAATGGACAAGATGTCACTGTGGTTAAGATGGTTTAATTTGATATCTTAATAATGTGTAGGAGTATGGTGGACAAAAGAGGAGAAATTTGGGGTGGGAAACCATCATGTCAAGGCCTTGAAGCAAGAAGGAGTAGAGGGTAGTCCAGAAACTAAAGGTCCAGTGTGACTAATATATAGAGACAGCAGTATGTAAATTATTTTTAAGGAAAATTCCAATGGGGAGAAACTTGATAAATTCCTTGCAGAATTGATAAATTGCTCTGTAGATATAATAAACCTATATGTTAATAGTGAAAAAATATCCGTCCTGTTGCAGTCTCAAAATCAAACAGGTTATTATTTTTAATGTCACTACTTTGATTGCAAAAATATCTTTACTTCACATATATTTGATTACTAGTGAAGTTAAGCATTACTACGGGATTAACCAATAGCATATACTTTTTGGGAATTGTTCATTTGTTTTCTCCTTATTTTTTCATGTCTTATAGTTTTTCTTACCAATTTTGTGACTAGTTTATACATTAACACTATGCCATATATGTGTTATGATTTTTTCTTAATTTGCTGTTTAGTAAGTAACTAGTTTGTAATGTTTGGGGCAATAGGTGGGTAATTTACATGATCTCATATTGATTTATGTTTTCTTCTGCTATTTTTGCCAATATTAGCTTATTTTTACTGATACCTGTTCCTTTCATCAAAAGCTCCATTTTGTACTATAAAATACAGTTTCATCTAAAATTAGCAAACACAAAAATATATAAAGAAGAAATTGATTATGCACATTTGCAGTACTCAACTAACCATTGTTAACATGTTTCTACATACGTTGTAAAATAGATCTCAACATAGATAGATGACAGATAATAAGCATGTTACTTAAAAAATCTGTTTTGATTAGATTTATACATAAACTGGATGTCTAGGTTCTTTACCTGTAGATATTGGGATTATAGATAATTTTTATTTTCTTGTAGTATTATGTAATTTTCTATGCAATAATTTATGTCATATGAAAAATATAATTAAATAAAAGATGAGGCCTGTGAAAAAATATCTGTTTAGTCATACTTGCTTTGAGAAACAAGGGAAAGAGAAAGAACCTTCCTTAGCATTTGCACAGACTGCAGAAGCTCTAATTCTGATATCTGCTGCCTTTGTAGCTCTGATTACTAACTTTGTTGTTTGTACTAACTTTCAATTATATTGGTTTGGTCCTCACATGTTTTATGATTTTATTTTGAACTCAGTTTTATTAGAATATTATCTGTGGGAATTCTTTGAGATCAGGTTTACAGTGACGTCTGCCAGAAAAAGTTTGACTTTGTAAAGGCTGACTGGGATCACTTCCAGTATCAACTTCTTTAAGCTAAACTTTTCAGTTTGTAATGATTTAGGCTATGTAGAATTCAACTTCTAGCCCCAAATATACATGAGTGAAAGGCTATTATAACAAATTCTTAGAGCAACATTCCTCTTTCATTCCCCTTTACATTCCCCTTTCAATTCACTGCCCTGGCTGAGTGTTAAGTATTCCTACTTTAGCCTTTTGTTGGACGTATATTATTTTCTCATTTGCCTATTAAGGGTTTGCCTTTCAGGGATCTTGGCTTGTTGATAGTATCCAATCTCACTTCTAACTTTGGAGAAGTCCAAACCAGGTATCTTATCCAACATGCATATGGTCTTTTAAAACATAAGCACTGGTTTATGAATGGATGAAGAAAATGCTGTATATGTACACAATGGAATACTGTTTAGCCATAACAGTTTTTTTTAAAAAATGAAATGTCATTTGCTACAACATGGATGGAAAGGAAGACATTATGGTACCTGAAATAAGCCAGAAACAAAAAGTTAAGCGCCACATATTCTCGCTCATATAAGGAAACTAAAAAAAGAAGATCTCATAGAAGTAAAAAGAAGAGCAGAGTATACCAGAGGCTGGGAAGGATAGGGGTTTGTAAAAGTATACAAAATACAGCTAGATAGGAGGAATACGTTCTAGTGTTTTATAGGACTATAGGATGACTATAGCTAACAATAATACATAGTTTTAAATACCAGGAAGGAGGATTTTAATATTCCCAACAAAGAAATGATAAACGTTTAAGATGATAGATCTTCTTATTAACCTATTGAATCACTATACATTGTATGTTTCAAAACATCACTATGTACCTGATAAATGTGTACAGTAATTATTATATAACGTAGGAAAATAGCCTATTGCGTAGAAAGAGTGATGCCATCCTGAAGCGAAACTACCACAACGACTGATGTTTAACTCCTGCATGCCAATGTGTTCTGCAGCAAGTTCTTTAAATAATTCCTGTGACATAGAGAGCCCCTCATAAAGATGCTTATCTAACCTTCTTAATGGTCATAAGTTTTAGCAAGAGAGCCTGAGGTATGAAGAGCTGCACATGTTTTACCCAAAAAGCTTAATATATAAAGGATATTTTCTGGAGGGCGGCTGTGGGGATCCAATATCTTGCGGCCACCCAAGACATTGCCTCTGTTTATAAGTTCCTATTAAATATTGCTTTCTTTTAAAAAAGATTGTGTGTGTATATATATGTATAAGATATATATGTATAAGATATATATATGTATAAGATATATATATGTATAAGATAGATATATATATGTATAAGATATATATATCTTTTGCAGCAACTTGGATAGACCTGGAGGCCATTATTCTAAGTGAAGTAACACACATGGCTGGAAAACCAAAACTGTATGTTTCAGTTATAAGCGGGAGCTAAGCTATGAGTGTACAAAGACATACAGAGTGATATCATGGTCTTTAGAGACTCAAAAGGGGGAGGCTGGAAGGGAGGATAGGGATAAAAAAGCTACATATTAGGTACAATTTACACTACTCAGGTGATGGGTGCACTAAAATCTCAGAATTCACCACTATATAACTCATCCACGTGACAAAAAAACACTTGTACCCAAAAAGTTGTTGAAGTAAAAATTATAAATAAATCAATAAATATTTCTTTTTGAGAAACTGGAATTGTTAGACTCTTTCTTTGGCCTCTCAGCTCCCTCAGCCTTTAGGGATAGTTTTGCATATACCTTTTCACTGCGGAACATCAATTTAAAAACATAACAAAATTAAAAAATACTTACACACTGGTTTAAAGGAGAGTGACAATGCCGTCTCCTCGATAAACTCCTCTATCCAACTCCAAGATAGTTAGTTAGGGACTAACTCTATCTTCAGCACTGTTTCCTCTCATGATTTGCACTTTCCTACTATTTTTGGCATCTGAGGATTCTTTTTTAACTCTCTTGACAGCTGGACCATACACTTTAAAAATATTTCTGAAGGCTTCTTTTTCAGTATCTTTATGTTTTCCTGACTGGAAGGATTTTTCCAGACATCTGGTTTTTCATATATTTTTATACAGATTTTTTTAATTTATAAAAATAATTTTAACTTCTATTTTAGATTAAGGGGTACAGGTGCAGGTTTGTTAGTAGGTTATATTCCTTGATGCTGAGGTTTGGGGTATAATTGAACCCATCACCCAGGTAGTGAGCATGGTACTCAATAGGTAGTTTGACAGTCCTTGCCCCCTGACCCCTGCCATCCCTCCCTCTCCACTTAGTCGCCAGTGTCTATTGTTCCCATTTTTACGTCTGTGTGAACCAATGTTTAGCTCCCGCTTATAAGCAAGAGCACGTGATAGTTGGTTTTCGGTTTCTGTGTTAATTTGCTTAGGATAATGGTTTGCCATACTTTTGAAGGCAAAAGTTGTTTGTTTCACTAGCTTTGTCCAATCTTTCTTTTTTTTTTTAGTAAAGGTATTCAAAATTGTATGTTTTCTGCCCAAATATCAACTTATATGTATTCCACAAATGTTGGCACATGGTTCTTATATTGTATTCAATTCAAATAATTTCAAAATATTCTTTACACTTTCCTTTTAATGCAAGAGATATTTAACAATAATGAGATTTTTAAAGGTAACTTTTGTATTGATATCTTATTTTATTTGAGTCAGACAGCATATGTGTATGATATTTGGCCTAGGATAAGATTCATTTGGCCCAATACATGATCCATTTTTGTGAATGATTTTCTTTAAATGAGTTTGATGTGTTAAAGTTAAATGTATATGCATTAGATGAACAATATTAATGATATTACTTGTTTACGTCTTTAATATATGACAATTTCCAATAGTTAAATTAGTAAACCTACACTTACAATTACTGATTTATTTCTTTATGCTCATAATTATTTTATTTGTAGTTGCATTTAATTTGAAGCAATGTTGATAATTGCATTTTTATTCATGGTCATTACTTTTTTATGGTTATTTTTACTGATATTAAAAAAGTTTGCCATGAAAATTTTTGCTTTAAATTTTATTTCACCCTTGGTAAATTCCCTAATTTTGTTACATTTTATTTTATTTTATTTTGATACATAATATTTGTTCAACTTTGTAAGGTATATGTGATATTTTGTTTCATGTATATAATGTGTAATAAAAGTCAAGATATTTAGGATCCATCACTTCAAGCATTTATCATTTCTAAATTGTGTGTTTTCCACCTCTGCATTTTCAACACTTCTGCATTTTATTTTTAAATGTCTCTTGTAGAAAACAAATATTTCATTTTTGACACTTTATTTAATAATGTAATCTCAAAATTACTATTGAGAAACATTTTTACACTCAATACAATTGTGATTGCATTGTTTTCTATCTTCTCATTTCTTCTTTTTACTCTATTTTAATGCTTTATTGCAGATCTTTTTCCTTTCCTGTTTCTATTGATATCAAATTTTCATGTGCTGGGTTTAAAATTGGTATCTTTATGTTCATTTCATATAAAATTAAAAGTTTAACCTGTTCTTATCTAATGACAGTCATTTCCATGCTGCATGTTTTTATGGTCTGGAATATTAATTTTTTAATTTACACATTTATTTTGTTTTAATTTTATTGTGATAACATTTATATAACAAATTTGTCATTTTAACCATTTTAAGTGTACAATTCTGTGGCACTAACTACATTCACAATGTTGTGCAAGCATCACCTCTGTGTCCAAAACTTTTACATTACCACAGATAGAAACTCTGGACTCATTAGGCAGTAACTCCCTATTTTTCCTTTCCCACAGTTCCTGGTGACCTCTGATCTCCTCTTTGGCTTTATGAATTGGCCTAGTCTAGGCAATTCATATGAGTAGAATCACACAGATTTTCTCATTTTATGTCTGGTTTAGTTTACTAAGCATGTTTTTAAGGCTCACCAATATTTTAACATGTATCAGACCATCATTCTTTTGTATGACTGAATAATATTTTATTGTATGTATACACCACAATTTGTTTAGATATTCATCAGTTGAAAAACACTTGGGTGATTTCTACCTTTGGGCTATTGTGAATTATGCTGCAATATACACTGGCACATAAGTATCTGTTTGAGTTCCTGTTTTCAATGTATACTAGGAGTGAAATTACTGGATAATACAGCAATTCCTATGCTTAGCTTCTTGTGGAGTCACCAAACTGTTTTCCACAGTAGATTTATCGTTGTACATTCCCACCAAGAATGTACGAGAGTTCCAAATTTTCCACATCCTTGCCCACCCTTGTTATTTTCCAGGATTTTTACTATAGCCATTCTAGTGGATGTGAAGTAATACGTGACTGTGGTTTTGGTTTGCATTTCCCCAATGACTAATGATGCTTAGCGTCTTTTTATGTGTTTACTAGACATTTGTAAATCAATGGAGAAATGTCCGTTGAGATCTTTTGCCCAATTTAAAATTGGATTTTTTGTTGGGTTGTAGAGGTTCTTTACATATTCTGAATTTTAAGCCCTTCGCAGATATATGATCTGCAAATATTTTCTCCCAGTCTATACATCGTCTTTTCACTTTCTTGGAGTGGCTTGTGATACACAAAAGTTTTATTTTGCGTGAAGTCCAATTTAAGTATTTTTTCTTTTGTGGCTTACTTTTTTCATGTCATATGTAAGAATCCATTGCCAAATCCAAGGTCATAAAGATTACCACTAAATTTTCTTCTAGGTGTATTTAGTTTTAGTTGTTATATTTAGGTCATTGATCCATATTGAGCTAAGTTTTGTATATGACGTGAGTTAGGGGTCCAACTTCATTCTCTTGCATGTGGATATCTAATTGTCCTAGCATCATTTGTCAAAAAGACTCTTTATGCCCTAATGAATTTTTACACACTTGTCAAAATCAATTAGTCATAGATATATGGGCTTACTTCAAGACTCTCAATTCCATTACATTGATCTATATGTCTATCCTTATGCCAATAAAACACAGTCTTGATTACCATAGCTTTGTAGTAAGTTTTATACTTGATCTTAGCCAAAAGGCTGAGAAGTAATGTAGTGAATTTTTAAAATATTAAGTGTGAGCCTTCCAACTTTGTTCTCCATTTTTAAGATTGTTTTGGAAATTCAAGGTTTCTTGTAATTTCTTATGGATTTGAGGATCAATTTTTCTGTTTCTGAAAAAAAAAGTCTGTGAGAATTTTTAATAAGGATTTGAATGAATCTGTAGATTTCTTTGGCACCTCCTCTTTCTGTCTGTAGAGCAAAAGCAGATGAAAAATTAGGAGTATCTGACTTGAGGGTCCCAAGAGCCATATCTGAGGACAGGATGTAGTGAGCGGTCTTGGATGGAGAAGAGGCATAGTACCTCCCACCTGCCCTAAAGGACATGGAATTCCATGATGCCACTCTTTCCTGCTTCTGGGTCCCTGTAGTCTTAGAGCCAGAGCCCACAGAGCTGGGGGTGGTGGCATTGGGGCAGATCTGGATGCAGCCCAAGGTACAGCCAGGAGTGATTATGACTCCTAGAGAAGCTCCTAAGGTGGGGAACAGAATATGTCAAGGTGCAAAATTTCTCAGCATGTCATTAAAGGTTTTTGGTTGCAACAGAAATGAATGTAAGCAGGAAAGGAGGAAGGAGTTTTATAGTTAGGATGTTGAGCCATCTGTCCTAAAGTTAAGAGGAGTCCAATCATCTTTAGAAAGAGTCAGGACTCAGTCATGACTGAGATAGACCCGAAGACCTCAGACATGGGAAGGAGTGGGTGTTCTTTCTAGCTTATGCAGCCAATGTGACTCAGTTTCCACAACTGCCATTCTCTGTGTTTCCAAGGTCAAAATTCCAAATTCCTCACAGAGACTTATTTATTCATTCATTTGTTCATTAAATATTCATGTAGCCCCTACTGTGTGGTAGGCAGAATTCTAGACACTAAAGATACAGCACTGATCCAAGGAGACAAAAATACCTATTTTACATCTTACATTGCAGTGGGCACAGAATAAGATTGGCTCCACTTGGGTTAGGTATCCACCCCTAATTCAATCAGCTGTGGCTAGATGGAGTTCCTGAGCCAAAAGGCTTCTCCCAGTGGGTTCTACTACAATGAACAATTGTTGTTTAAGACACACATGGATTCTTGATTGTCAATTCAGAAAGCAGACAGTGGGTTTTAAAATAACAAGGCATAGTTGAGTTCATTCAGTCACCTTGAGAGCACCCATTTTTTCTAGGAGACTGGATGTTCTCAAGGAGCAGCCTGTCCATCTTGCATCCCCCAGGTTCTCCGGATTCTCCATTTCCAAGCAGAAGAAGCAGGACTGGAGCACCCTTCCATATCATCAGCCTTCTCCTCGCACCAGACCTTACTCACCAGGGCCTGGGACTGTGGGTTGGACTTCTCCCTCTTTTGCTATCTTCAGCTCCTGATCTGGCTAGCATCTTCTGTGAACAGGGACAAGCCTTGCTTCTTCTGCTATCTTCCATGGAAGAAGCCAGCCCAGGGCTCAGGGAAGACTTAATGAGGCATACAGGGAAAAAAAAAAAAAAATATATATATATATATATATATATATATATGTGTATATATATATATATGTATATATATATATGTATATATATATATATAAAATAAAAATATTAAATGTGAGTTTTCCAACTTTGTTCTCCTTTTTAAAGATTGTTTTGGGTATTCGGATTCCCTTGTAATTTCACCTGAATTTGAGCATTAGTTTTCCTCTTTCTGAAACGAAGTCTGTAGAAATTTTTGATAGGAATTTTAATGAATCTTTAGATTGCTTTGGGTAGTATTGATATCTTAACAGTATCAAGTCATCTTATCCATGAACATGGGATGTCTTTCTACTTACTTGTGTCTTCCTTAATGTCTTTCAGCAATGTTTCATCAATTTTTGTATATAAGTATTTTGCTTCTTTGGTGAAATTTATTCCTAGTTATTTCATTATTTTGGAATTGTTTTCTTAATTTACCTTTTATATTCACTGTTCAGATTGCTGGTGTGTAGAAACACAACACAGTTTTATGTGTTGATCTTCTACCTACAACTGGAGTTTTAAGATTTTTATAGTATACAAATGTTCTTTTCTTATTTTTAAAAAATTTTTTGACATCCTAAGCCTTACAAAATTTCTTATAAACTTTACTCCACATATTCATATAGGTATCTCCTCACCCCATTATAGTTTTTGTTAATGTAGCCTCCAAAATGTTGAAAAAAGTTCTATGTTTAGTAAACGTCTGAAACCTATATATCTGAGAATATTTTTACTTAACCTGAACATTTAGATGTGTTGTCAAATATAAATAAATAATTTATTGTGTTTAAGTTGAAATGCTGTTAAAATCATTTTATTTATGCCATTGCAGAGAGAAACAAAATAGTCACCTGTCCATTAATATTATGAGATGCACTGGGCATTAATATTGAATAAAGAAAAGAACTACATATGAAGGAAAAAAACAACTAAGTCCATTTAAGTTTGTTTACATTTTCAGTGAGTAATGGAAAACAAAACAAATTGTTAAACCATAACTATTATGTTGCCATATTTTATGATTTCATGTGACTGGCATTGTCTTAGTCCATTTTGCTGCTATAAAAAGTATCTGAGATGAGGTAGTTTATAAATAACAGAAATTTATTTTTTCATAGTGCTGAAGGCTAGAAAGTCCAAGACTAAGGCAGTGGCAGGTTTGGTGTCTGGTGAGGGCTTCGTCACTGCTTCCAACATGGAACCTTGAATGCTGTATCTTTTCATGGCAGAAGAGGGGAAAGGTTAAAAGACCTATTTAGTTCCCTTCAGGCCTTTTAATCCCATCATAATGGCAAACCCATCATAATCATCTCCTAAAAGGCCCCACCTCTTAATATTGTTGCATTAGGGATTACATTTCCACATGAATTTTGAAGAAAATACAAACATTCAAACTATGGCAATCATAAAATGTGAAATTTGGCCAAATATTATGGATAGGAAATTGTAATTAAGACACATTAATAAAGGCTCTATAGCAAAACAACTAGATAAGAGAATCGTGATTTATTGAATGGAATGCCAAAAAATTCAATAATAATAGTACCTAAAATTTTTTGAGTATATATGGTAAGAACTATTCTAAGTATTTTAAATGCAAGACTTTATTTAAGTATAATATTTCTATGAGATAGATAGCACTATGATCAATGTTTTACACATTGGAGAAAGAAAAGATTCAGCACAATTTAAATCACACAATCATTAAAACTGAGAATAAGCTTCAACTCCAGCTGTCTGGCACCAGAGCTGAAGCTCTTAACTGTTATATATATTTCAAGCCTTGTCCAAATTTTGTTATTTAGCAAATAAATTATTTGTCTCCATGGATCCCAAATATTCTATTTCTTCACCATTTTTATACAAATAGACAAGACTATTCCCAATATGCTATTATAATAAAGTGTTTTATGCTTGAATTATTGACTCTATATAGTTATCCATTAATTAAGACTGTTCCTCTTCTTAAAGAGACATGCATATTTCTCATTCATGTTATCCCTTCTCAACAGGGGTCTTTATATTGCTCTGTTTTCATGAGGTTCACATGTACCCCCATACATCTGTACAACTATTATATGTCCATAATTAAATTTTAAAAAAAGAAAAATACAACAAACAAGATTACTGAATGAATTTTTTTAAAAAATAGAAGATTATTTCATCCAACAAAAAGATAGGGGAACTTTAGCAAAAAGAATGGTGGTGAAATTTAGTATATTTAACTACTTAATTTCAGGTAGAAAGCAAAAATCAAGGAAGGAAGACTGGCTTATGATTGTGACAAGGAAAGGTAATATTTTGTATAGAGTGATGACAGGAGATAATGAACTGCTGTATGTCTTGTGAGGAATTAGACGGAGAATAATCTGGCCAGGCACAGTGACTCACACTTGTAATCTTAACATTTTGGGAGGCCAAGGCAGGAGGATCACTAGAGGCCAGGAGTTCAAGAACAGCCTAAGCAACACAGTGAAACTTTGTCTCAAAAAAAAAAAAAAAAAAAAGGAAAAAGGAAAGAGAGTAGAGTAATCTGAAAGTTACGAGAGGGAAAGAAAAACACCCATCCCAGCTTTAGACCCACTTCTATGAGGGTGTGAGAGAGAAAACAGCTGCCACAGGATTTAATTGTAGAGTATTAAAATGAAAAGATTCATGGACATGAGTGATGAATGAACTGGGAGGGGCACCAAATTATATACTTATTTTTATTAATCCTTAGCTTAA
Source organism: Homo sapiens (assembly GCF_000001405.40). Taxonomy (NCBI): domain Eukaryota; kingdom Metazoa; phylum Chordata; class Mammalia; order Primates; family Hominidae; genus Homo; species Homo sapiens. The sequence goes on along the minus strand of NW_003571050.1, from coordinate 11,804 downwards.
GTCTAGTATTTCTTCTGTCTTGAATGTAAGTAACAAGCACATACCATACCAGCAGTATCTGTAATTTTTTCACTTCAGGAAGCCAAAAATTTTTGTCGTTACAGGTACCTCCTATTGTCATTTACTTTCACCACTAGTCTTTATCTGCCAGATATTTTTGTTATGTCAATTAAAAAGCACATAAATTCCTATATTATATTAACAATATATTTCATACTGCAAGAAAAAGGCATATATATATGGATTCCTTATACATTTCAAATATTTTTATTTCATGCACTTAAAAACATTATTCTGAAATTATAGCATGCACCAGACTGGCAAAGTAGTCCATTGAACAAAAAAGTTCCAGAACCTCGAGTTCAAATGAAGAAAATAAAGTGAACTGTTAGAGAAACAAATGAGAATATATGGCTTCTGCTAATGGTTTACTAGGGATCCCAATGGATATAGTGAAGAGTTTAGAATGGGGTAGGAGATAAAGTCAGCAACTATTCAAAATATAAGTTGTCAGAAAATAGGACAGTATCGCAGTATCCTGTTCTTGATTTATAAATCTGAAGAGTATAGTCATTTCTCTTGATCAGTAATAATCAGTGGCATAACTCAAGGACAAATGCCTGTAAAAGATGTAAGGTTCTAAAGAATGGTAAAAAGTATTTAAACAAAGGAAAGAAAATGAAATTTAAGAAATATCTGCCTAAGTAGGTTTGTGTTTGCTCACTTCTCATAGAAAGACATACAGGAAATGATGTCATAAGTTTCCCAGTATTTCATCTGTTTTCTAGTAGAGACAGAAATAATCAATAAACTAACATTCTAGATTAAAGTGTTTCTGCAATGAAAATAGATGTTAAAGTCTGTCAGCTAGGATCCCTCTTTAACTTCTCAATGCTAAGATAAAATCCAAAGGGCAAATAACACATAAACTCACACACACACACAATACACACAAAAAAAACATATTCAACGGTGTCAAATAAATTGAGATCATTTGGGTTTTATTTATAGCAAGGAAAGATAAAAGAGGGTGGCATTTTAGTAAGTATAGGCCCTTAGGTAACTCTGGTCATATCCTATAGCATATTTTCGTTTACATTTGAATATAGGCATAACTTTCTTAAATTGATCAGTATTCCACACGGCTAAGGAAAAGAAGTGAGGTAGTGGGAAAGACCATGATTCAGAAGGCAAGCTTGGATTCTATATCTGGATTTACCAGGAATTTTTAATATGTCAGTTATTAATCACCCTCCTACATGATATATTTTCATCTTCATCTTTTCTGGACATTACAAATTGATCCCAGAGTAGTTCCATTTCCAAATAATAACCTTGAACCTACTTTATTCCCCTCCACAAAATTTTATCTTTCAAAAAGTTTAATTAAAATAATGAAATATTGCATTCCCTGAGATGTGAACATGGTGCGACCTTGTCTGTCAGTTGCATGCAAATCAATTTCTTTACTCTAGTGAAGTCCTTCTCAGAATATTACCTGTTTTATGGCTTTGGTCATGACAAGCACAGTGTGTATTTTTGAGTTGTATAATCTGATATTTCTTCAGAAACAAAATTCACAGAGAAGCATGAAAGAAACCCCAAATTTCACTGAATAGAATAACAATAGCTATTTACTTTCTCATAAAAATCTGCAAGATTAATTTTTATCTCTTTATTTTGTCTAAAACCCTGAACATATGACACATTATCTCATTAAATACTTTGTATTGTTGTGTTTGTTTGATAAGCAATATTTAATATTGCCTTAAAATTTAATATTAGTTTCAAAATAATATTTCTGGGAACTGTGTATTGCTGTGTGCCTTTTTCTATTATTTCAAATATGTTCTACTATGCCCAATGACATGTTTCAATATGTCCCAATGAAACAGTGTGTTTCCAATGTGTGTATAATTAGCATACTAATATTTATAATACACCTGCTGCCAAAAAATAGAGCTAAGAAAATTCAGAGCATGTATTCTTATCACTCAGTTCAGACTGAAGAGTCTTGTATATCTATCACGCTTTTTAGTTCCAAAAATATCACTTTCTTGCTCTTTGTCCTCCTCACTGTTCAGGCTGATCTGTTTCCATTCTAAAGATAAGTGACCAGTATTTTGACTATTTTTTCTATGTATGGAAGCTACATTCAGGTACAAAGCAAGAACACTCTAAGAAACCCTAACATCTAAACCAGAATTTTCCGTGTCTCATTTGCTGACAACACTACAATGTCATGTTTATTTCCCTCATTGTATCTTCAGTTGAGAAGACAAACACTGCAGAGCTTTTTGAGGATATTGGGAATTACCTAATTAATGTATTTCTCAATGCCCTAGTGAATGGAGTGTCCTTTTGGCCCTCTTAAGTCATATAATGGGGAGAAGGTGAAGTTCGCATATGATAAATTCACCTTAATACTCCTATCTTCCTACACCTTTAGATTCTTTCCTCTACATTCCACCAGTTATGCCATTTAAGCCTCATTTAATGTTAATAATAATTTGTTTAAAGCTTTAGTCAACCAAGCAAGCAAACTGGCCACACAAGCTAACACAGTAAACCTAGAATCTGTAATAGCAATAACTATGTCAATATACTAACAAGGATGGATAGTCATCCAGCAAATTAAATTCTAGCCATATTTTCCAAGTAATTGATACCTTCTTGAAGTTCCTGGTCAACAGCTCAGATTGATAAATCCAAAATATACAGAGCTTAAAATAAGAAAGAGTGTGCAAATTTAAGAAATCAGATCCATTCCCATTTGCATCCTAGAGGCTTTCAGTCATCACTGCACCAAAGGAAATTACTGGCCCCAATCATTGAAGTCTTTAGGCAGCTCTAGCCCAGAGCAGGACTGGCTATCTTCTTCATCTGCATCACAGCTAACAAAAAGGAGAGATAAAGACAACTATATCATGGTCTAAGAGGCAGACAGATACATTGTTCTTCACTGGTCAGCTGAAAGTCAATTCATCATCAGTGATATTCAAAAATCACAAGTCTTTGCTGGCATGCCAAGTGCAATAGAGGCAATATATATTATTTTAATTGCTGGTGAATTGACCATAGGGATTTGGGGAAATGGATTCATTGTACTAGTTAACTGCATTGACTGGCTCAAAAGAAGAGATATTTCCTTGATTGACATCATCCTGATCAGCTTGGCCATCTCCAGAATCTGTCTGCTGTGTGTAATATCATTAGATGGCTTCTTTATGCTGCTCTTTCCAGGTACATATGGCAATAGCGTGCTAGTAAGCATTGTGAATGTTGTCTGGACATTTGCCAATAATTCAAGTCTCTGGTTTACTTCTTGCCTCAGTATCTTCTATTTACTCAAGATAGCCAATATATCGCACCCATTTTTCTTCTGGCTGAAGCTAAAGATCAACAAGGTCATGCTTGCGATTCTTCTGGGGTCCTTTCTTATCTCTTTAATTATTAGTGTTCCAAAGAATGATGATATGTGGTATCACCTTTTCAAAGTCAGTCATGAAGAAAACATTACTTGGAAATTCAAAGTGAGTAAAATTCCAGGTACTTTCAAACAGTTAACCCTGAACCTGGGGGTGATGGTTCCCTTTATCCTTTGCCTGATCTCATTTTTCTTGTTACTTTTCTCCCTAGTTAGACACACCAAGCAGATTCGACTGCATGCTACAGGGTTCAGAGACCCCAGTACAGAGGCCCACATGAGGGCCATAAAGGCAGTGATCATCTTTCTGCTCCTCCTCATCGTGTACTACCCAGTCTTTCTTGTTATGACCTCTAGCGCTCTGATTCCTCAGGGAAAATTAGTGTTGATGATTGGTGACATAGTAACTGTCATTTTCCCATCAAGCCATTCATTCATTCTAATTATGGGAAATAGCAAGTTGAGGGAAGCTTTTCTGAAGATGTTAAGATTTGTGAAGTGTTTCCTTAGAAGAAGAAAGCCTTTTGTTCCATAGAGACCCCTAAAGAGTATCCTGACTACAAGGATGAAAGAAATCAACAAAAGGCATTCTCCCTTCTCTTGTTTGCATTCATTTTCTCTTATATGCTATTGGAAGTCATTAATATCTGTCATGATTCTGAAGATTTGTTTTGTGTTCCTTCACACTTTTGTCTTGTTTAATGGATAATCTAATGTTATCATTGCACCGTATATTCTTTGTCGTTGCAGAAAAAAAAAATGCATCTAAATCCCACACTAACATTTCATCATTTTATGTCATTGACTAAATACAAAGAGGTTCTACTTCTTTTCTGACAAATACTGGCAAAGGCCTTGAACTCAATGAGTAGAAGAATGTCAGGCAAACAGGCTTTGGGGAAAAGATTTTAGAACTCATCAACCCTTGCTATAAAATCAATCATGCAAAACAACTCTCTACTTTGAAATGAAGGCCGGTCCTTATCTTCACCGCCCTTTCCTCTCCATTTCTGGAAGGGTTTGTCTTGATCAAGAAGGGAGAAAAACAATCTTTAATGAGATTCTATCTAAGATGATATATGATGTGGGAAAAGGAGTATAATCTCAAGAATGAAAGTTTGACAGAGAGAGGAGGCACAGTTATGTATAGCAGAACCACCTTGAGAAAGAAGGTTGAGGGTCCCAGTAGTCAGCGTGTTCATGAGTACTCTAGCTGGTGATGGCAATTTTAGAAGTCATTTCCCAAAGATTCCCTGGAATGTTCTCTCTAGCCTTCTAACTCAGAAATCTCTGACATATTTTTTTCCCTCTGCATCATTTTCTTTTCTATTTTGTTTCCAGCAGTAGTTTATAGATAACTAGGTTTCTTTAAGTTATTAAGTTTATGCTTTCCTGTTACACATTACACACATGTAAGAAATAGAAAAAATCCTGCATGTGTTGTATACATTGTAGAACTATTTAAATACAAGAAGCCCTAGGGTATTGTGATTTGTATTACCTACATTCAAATGTATTTTGGGCTAAGTTGTACTTTCCCTTACCCCAAAACAAATAAATCTAATTTAATAGTAGAATTAGTCCTATTCCTTGGAAATACTGGTATGTAAAAAAAAAAAATTATTATTATTATTTTGAGACAGAGTCTCACTGTATCGCCCAGGTTGGAGTGCAGTGGCACGATCTTGGCTCACTGCAACCTCTGCCTCCCGGTTCAAATGATCCCCCTGCCTCAGTCTCCCAAGTAGTTACTTTTTTATGTGTTTGCCCTATCTAGAAATATGACTATAATATGCACTGTGAGATTACAAATCTTATAAAAGGAGTTGATTGGAACTAGAATAATGTAAAATTTAAATTTTCTTAATTTTAGATTACAATGCTTATTATACAAGAGACAGTGATTCAGGAAATGAATTGTCTTCAAGGGTATTTGTCACATTAAAAAAAAACTAAAGATAACAAATCTTTACCTGGCATATTTCACTTCTGAGGAACAATTGAAAAGAAAGCAAATTCTTAGTAAATATTATCATGTGCCTGCCTAAAAAAAAGTCATTTCTAATTAGATTTGTATTATATCCTTCCCTAATTAGCCGTTTAAATGAAGACAAGAATTATTATCCTCTGACTAAATGTTAAATATCTACAATCTAATTGTACTAATTACTTCCAAAGTGAAAATTTCTTTGCATCTGGGAGAACTGATTTGTGGCTTATTTATAACTTACATGATGAAAATGAAGTTTTATTTACACAGTTGGGTTTTTATTAAACATTTATCTCTTTTTTTATGACTCCCTATTCAAAACTCAATTTGAAGATCCAAATATAGAGCTACAGCAAGAAGCCTGTTGCAAATTCATGATATAAAATCTCTTTGAATTTGCATGGGAGCAATTTCAGCCAAACATTTCAGGTATCACTCACTAAAGGATAATAATTATAATTTTTCCAGGCTATAAATAACTAGTCAAGCTGCTCATTAGTTGGTTTCATCTTCAGGAGTGTAGAGACAATCCTATTTCAGAGGAGAGCTGAACACTTCCGGAAGAATAACAACGTCGAAATAACAGCAGATGAAAACATTATTGCATGATTCGAAGAATTGATCTATCATGCTTTAACAGGTCACCTGTAAATTAGCTCATCTACAGTGATATTTGAAATCAGATTGTTCTCTCTACAAACATGTTCAGTCCTGCAGATAACATCTTTATAATCCTAATAACTGGAGAATTCATACTAGGAATATTGGGGAATGGATACATTGCACTAGTCAACTGGATTGACTGGATTAAGAAGAAAAAGATTTCCACAGTTGACTACATCCTTACCAATTTAGTTATCGCCAGAATTTGTTTGATCAGTGTAATGGTTGTAAATGGCATTGTAATAGTACTGAACCCAGATGTTTATACAAAAAATAAACAACAGATAGTCATTTTTACCTTCTGGACATTTGCCAACTACTTAAATATGTGGATTACCACCTGCCTTAATGTCTTCTATTTTCTGAAGATAGCCAGTTCCTCTCATCCACTTTTTCTCTGGCTGAAGTGGAAAATTGATATGGTGGTGCACTGGATCCTGCTGGGATGCTTTGCCATTTCCTTGTTGGTCAGCCTTATAGCAGCAATAGTACTGAGTTGTGATTATAGGTTTCATGCAATTGCCAAACATAAAAGAAACATTACTGAAATGTTCCATGTGAGTAAAATACCATACTTTGAACCCTTGACTCTCTTTAACCTGTTTGCAATTGTCCCATTTATTGTGTCACTGATATCATTTTTCCTTTTAGTAAGATCTTTATGGAGACATACCAAGCAAATAAAACTCTATGCTACCGGCAGTAGAGACCCCAGCACAGAAGTTCATGTGAGAGCCATTAAAACTATGACTTCATTTATCTTCTTTTTTTTCCTATACTATATTTCTTCTATTTTGATGACCTTTAGCTATCTTATGACAAAATACAAGTTAGCTGTGGAGTTTGGAGAGATTGCAGCAATTCTCTACCCCTTGGGTCACTCACTTATTTTAATTGTTTTAAATAATAAACTGAGGCAGACATTTGTCAGAATGCTGACATGTAGAAAAATTGCCTGCATGATATGAAATCTTAGCTGTATAAATGGAATTTAAAACCAAATCTTCTCTAACAAAAAATATAGTTTTCTTAATAGTCTATTCTCATTTTTCCCCAGTTATCTCATTTATTTTGGATGCATATCTTTAAATATTATTAGGACCTAGTAGCAAACTACTGAATACATCTTTTCTATCCCTTTACAACTCAGAAATGCTCATCTTTACACTCCCTTTCCTCGAAGAATTTCAGAGCTCATGCTTCTCTTCTTGTCTCCTCAACGCAAGTGTTAGGCCTGTATTGCCTAGTTAAAGTCTTTTTAGATTTTACTTTGGCTCATGGTAAAGTGGACCTGAGCTACAGTAACTGGTTTCTCATTTTTCTTTGTCATACATTTTTATTGCCGCTCCTTAATTGTGCTCCTTTCATGGCTCTGCTGAGTCACCCCCATTTGGCTTATTGATTAGGAACTCAGATGTTCTCTGGTCTGTCTTTGGTTTTCCCGAATGATGATTTCCATGGTCTCCTAGGTAATATTTTCTGGTTGACCTTATTCTGATGATTTCTATTGATTTTCCTTGGAATTAAATTTCCTCTCAAACAACTTGCTTTTCATGCAGCACCTAGGTGGGAATCGAACCCATTCAAGTGCCACCCACCAAGGGGTGTTCCTAAGCCCTCTTCACAATCTGGATAAAAGAATGGGGATAACAAATATTAGTCAGACTGCTCAATCAGGTTCTTTTCTCTAACCAGACCCTGCAAAGGTTTTCACTCAGGACTTAACAAAAGAAATAAATTGGGAAGAAAATAGCGTATACCATGGAATAAGCACATACTGTCCCTGGAAGAAGAAACGAATGTTTACAAAAAATACAGATAAATTTTTATTAAAAAAAAAAGGAAAATAAGTCACTAAAATTTTTAATTTTTCTGTGAACATGAAATCCATCCTCACTATAATATTATTGAAACGTTTGGTCTGGCATATCTCAGGTTGTGTATGTACTAATATGGCTGTACATTATTGCTTTTACTCCCATTACTTTCTGTTTAATTCTGATGTATTTCAATCTACTAATTTCCTTTTATTATAACTAAAATACTAATTACCGGAAAATTATCAGTTGTTTGTCTTATTATTATGTAAAACTCACTCTGTAAAGTACTAATATTTATAGCCCCAAGTATATAAATTTTATGAACTATATTTCTAATATGCTAGCTGTATATGTTACTCTTTGTTTTACAAGACACAAGAATTCATGTTCTCTTGATGAAATATATTAATGTATTCTACAAAATACAGGTAGATTTTATACTAGGATGAACTTTATATTTTTCCTAAGGTTTAAGTGAAATAAACGTTTTATTGAATTAGTACTTTTGGGAAGGTTTTACCCCATTAGGGTTAAGTTTTTTTCTTCCATATTTTGTTTCCTGCCTCTCTAATGTTTCAAGCATCTCTAGTGACCACAGTGACTGGGGTTCAAAGTAGTAAGCTTTTGACAAAATGCTCTCTCATAGAACTTTTTTTTTAACTATATATTCACATAACTTCACGCTATACAACATTGGTATTCATAAAATCTACATTTATTTCCAAAACTAAACAAAAACAAGTCTAAAAATTATTTGAGAAAATACATCATCATAGTTCCCATGAGCACTTCATTTACCAGGATAAACTGTAGGGTAAAAATGATGAGTCTAGGCCAGGCACAGTGGCTCACACCTGTAATCCCAGAACTTTGGGAGGCCAAGGCACACGGATCGCCTGAGGTCGGGAGTTCAAGACCAGCCTGACCAACATGGAGAAACCCGGAATCTACTAAAAATACAAAATTAGCCAGGCATGGTTGCACCTGCCTGTAATCCCAGCTACTTGGCAGGCTCAGGCAGGAGAATCACTTGAACCTGGGAGATGGAGGTTGCGGTGAGCCAAAATAGCACTCCAGCCTGAGCAACAAGAACGAAATTCCATCTCAAAAAAAAAACAAAAGAAATGATAAGTCTAGGTCAGGGATCATATCCAAGATCGTCCTATCATAGGTGATGTTCCAGTTGCCTGTGAACATGGCTACATAATCATACAGATTGTCCAAAAGTTAAGGCTACATCTCCGGAATGATGGTTTGTCCTTTAAGGAAGGATAAGAGAAGACATGCATTCCCAGGAAGGTGTGAATACCCAAGAACTATTCTATGGAACCCCATGTAGTAAAGCGCTTCTCAGTAACTCTAAATTAGAGAAGCTATTTCAAACTAAAAATTCATCTCTAGAGATGTGGAAAGTTTAATCTTCAGTCTCCTGCTAGAAGGGTTGAGGATCTAGATACTCATGCAATTTGTATGGAGGACAGTGGAGAGAATGAAATACAGAATTTTACTATCTCCTCTCTCATGCATACAACTACCCTTGAGAACATTTTTTAAATTTTTGAAATCTTTATGAAAGTATAATTGGTATAAAAAGAACCGCATATATTTAATGTATAAAATTTCAAACACCCATGATATCTTCACCACAAACAAGGTAATGGACATATCTAATACCTCTCAAAGTTTCCTTGAGAACATTTTAAGTGAAAATGAAAAATTTAAGGTAATCAATAGTCTTTTTTTATTACAGGTCCTCTACCTTATTATATATAACATTGCTAAATAACCATTAAAAGTCATTTAGTCAGTAAGACAATGTGTTGTATTAAGAGACACTATGCCATGTAATTGTTCATCTGAACAGCCAAAATAATGACCTAAAGTTTCTTTGGAATCAAATAACCTACATTTAGTGTTAACTTTTTAAAGTTCCTGAAAATATATAACTCTCACTATGGAACCAAACTTTGGATTCTTTACTAATTATCAATATTAACATTCAGCAAAATAAAAATTCTTCAAGAACTTTCCAATTTTACCAGTTTTATACTTGCTACCAAATTCTTGATGTTCAGGTTGCCAGAATGGAACACTCAATCTAATTTGAACTTCAGTACTTCCTGAAAGCACTGATCTTAAGTAATCAGGGACATACACTAAAAAATTATTGATTTTTTTACCTGTAATTCAAGTTTAACTGAGTGTCCTGAATTTTTAGTCGCTAAATCTAGCAACCCTATTGAGGTTACTAGCATACATCACAAATTAATGAATCCAAAATGCGTACACCTTAGCCTCAGAAAGACAATGCAGGACCATGAAAGGGAATTGGCCCAATTTGCATCTTAGTAAACAGTAGCTCAGCCTAAATTAACCGTATGTGGAAAATTACAACCTGCTGAGTAGGTAAATGGGCATACAGTGGCCAGGCCAAGGATCGCCAAACACATTGTTTGTCAAGACTAATTAGGATTTAATGAAGATAGCTCCAGTCTTCATTTATCATTCCAGTCTCCATCACAAAACAGACTACAACAAAGAGGTAAAGAAAACTACATCAAAATCTAAGAAGCAGGTGTGGATGTCAAACTCCATCAGGTCAACTAGAAACTAATTGCATATTTAAACATGGCAGATAAAGTGCAGACTACTTTATTGTTCTTAGCAGTTGGAGAGTTTTCAGTGGGGATCTTAGGGAATGCATTCATTGGATTGGTAAACTGCATGGACTGGGTCAAGAAGAGGAAAATTGCCTCCATTGATTTAATCCTCACAAGTCTGGCCATATCCAGAATTTGTCTATTGTGCGTAATACTATTAGATTGTTTTATATTGGTGCTATATCCAGATGTCTATGCCACTGGTAAAGAAATGAGAATCATTGACTTCTTCTGGACACTAACCAATCATTTAAGTATCTGGTTTGCAACCTGCCTCAGCATTTACTATTTCTTCAAGATAGGTAATTTCTTTCACCCACTTTTCCTCTGGATGAAGTGGAGAATTGACAGGGTGATTTCCTGGATTCTACTGGGGTGCGTGGTTCTCTCTGTGTTTATTAGCCTTCCAGCCACTGAGAATTTGAACGCTGATTTCAGGTTTTGTGTGAAGGCAAAGAGGAAAACAAACTTAACTTGGAGTTGCAGAGTAAATAAAACTCAACATGCTTCTACCAAGTTATTTCTCAACCTGGCAACGCTGCTCCCCTTTTGTGTGTGCCTAATGTCCTTTTTCCTCTTGATCCTCTCCCTGCGGAGACATATCAGGCGAATGCAGCTCAGTGCCACAGGGTGCAGAGACCCCAGCACAGAAGCCCATGTGAGAGCCCTGAAAGCTGTCATTTCCTTCCTTCTCCTCTTTATTGCCTACTATTTGTCCTTTCTCATTGCCACCTCCAGCTACTTTATGCCAGAGACGGAATTAGCTGTGATTTTTGGTGAGTCCATAGCTCTAATCTACCCCTCAAGTCATTCATTTATCCTAATACTGGGGAACAATAAATTAAGACATGCATCTCTAAAGGTGATTTGGAAAGTAATGTCTATTCTAAAAGGAAGAAAATTCCAACAACATAAACAAATCTGAAGAGAAACTATGCTTTTCTAGGACAAACAAAGATAAGATGTTTCTAAATTAACTTCAGTTCTTGCATTAATGTTTTATGTGATTAATTACTCCTAAAACTTAATTAGTGTATCTGTAATTGTAATGTAGGGAATCTTATGTACAGCTGGCTGGATCTCTTTATCTCTGTCTCTGTTTCTGACTCTGTCTGTGTATCCCTGTTTCTCTCTTCTGTAACTCTTCCTTTCTTTAGAGTTGCTGTTTTTTAAAACATGTTTCAGAGCAAATAGAAATTAATATCCTAATATCAACTATCAAGAGTAGAGGGCATTTTCATAGT